>NC_000014.9:69611713-69763228 GCF_000001405.40 Homo sapiens
AGCTAGACAAGGGCACGCGGGGCCTCGCCTAGACCCGAGAAGACTGCGGGCGCGCGCAAGCGGCGGCGTGGAAGCTGTGAGCGCCCCCATCCCGGAGGTCTCCGCCGGCTCCCGGGTGAGTTGTCACCGCGGCCCGGGGGCGGCGGGGCCGGCATTGTGCCATCGACGCGCTCGGCCGGCTGTCAGGGGCGCGGGACCAGCGCGCACCGCCCAGGAGTGACGCTGGCCGGAGCCCGGGCCGGCTTCGGCGGCTCCCCGCGCTTCTCTGCGCCGGCCCGCTGTCACCCGGCCGCGAGCCGCGCCGCTGGGAGCCCCGCGCTGGCGTGGCGCGGCCAGCCGGCCAGCAGTGGGGGCTGCGCGGCCGGGGGGACCGGCGGCTGGTTTGCGGCCGGGAACTTGGTGACCCGCGGTCCGGGGCGCGCCGTCCCGCGTCGCTGCCCGGGCAGCACCGGAAGAGCCAGACGCCGTGCCGATGGGTGCAGAGGAGGTAGGCAGAGGCCCTCTGTGCCACTGTCATTACTGCCCTCAGCCCAGCAAAGCTGCGGGGCTTGCGCTGGGGCAGGGCTGGCTTAGAGAAGGTGGATTTCCTGAGGAAATCTCAGAGCCCGCCTGTGCGCACCGCGGCATTCGGGAGCCCCCGCGCCTCGGCTGCTCTTTAATCTCAAAAACTTCTCTTATTAACCAGGCTAAACTCCCCGAAACCAGCTATTTTCTTTCAAAAAGTAGGCACGTACATACAGACTTTCCTTTTTTCGCTTGGTTTTGAGACCCCAGCTATGAGTGTGGATCTGACTCTCCCTCATGGGAGTCGTGGCTGGGGAGCTGCTGAAGTGGAGAAAAGTTACCCTGGACGAATTTAGGAGCAGGAGGGGGAGGTGGTTATGGGGACAGCAAGACCCAGGAGCAAAGAGGCGTCAAAATAAAGTCTTGGGCTGGTTAAAGGGAAGTTGGCGTCTGGGCAAGGAGGCCTAAAGCTGTTGTTCCCACAGAATTTTCTTTCAGTGGCAGGCGACATGCTGGGCTTTGTTGCTCTCGCTAACTGGGCTCCTGTGTGCTCTTCCAGAGGTGCAGTAAGATTACTCAGTTCAATTAGGCCTAGGGATTTACTCCCTTTTTTGATCTACAGAGATGGGAAGTATGTCTTTCCTTCACAGTAGTTAATTCATTTCTTGCTGTTTTCGTTCCTCTGGTGTAAAAACATACATAGGAGTTACGCACACACACCTTTTCTGTTTTGGGAATTCCACACCCAAACTGTCACCATCTAGTGGAGGCTAGTAGAGACATGTGCTTGGCACTGACTTCTGAGTTCTCTGGGTTTTGTGTTTTTAGCTAGAAGCATATTCAACCAGAAATTAAAATTTTCCTGGAGTTGGGGGAGGTATGTCTACATCTCAGGAAAGAAGGTATTTAAGCAGCAATAATATGGAAAGGTTCTTGAGGACTTACTGAGTACCAACCTTTGTGCTAAGGGCTTTACTTTTTTGAACTCATTTAATAACAGACTTTTGATGTAGATATTATTATCCCCATTCTTCTAGTTGAGACCCAAACCAAACAAGTTAAATAACTCGCCCATGTCACATAGGTATCTCATGGTGGAGCCCACAGTCTGAACTACTAGATTATACTGCTAGTTTCTGGTTTGTTTACCTTTTGATAAAATTGAACCTGGAGTCTTTCTAAAACCTTCTGAAAGCACTGCTGCTTCAGGCTGTTTCTCAGATCATGAGCATTCTAAACTCTTTCTCCTGGGTACACACTTACGGTATGTTTGCATAAGATTCATTTGTTCATTCTTTCATTCAGTACTCCCAAGTAGTTATGTGATACCGAATGTATGCCAGGCACTGTGCTAGGTATTGCAGGTACTGCATTGAATAAGTCAGAATCCAGCTCTCATGGACTCACAGCCTTTAAGTCCATTTGTTTTGGTTTATGTTGTTAGCTTTCATTGCTGGCCATTTGCTGCTGAAGGAACTTCTGCCCAGCGAGTTAAACAGAGGACAGTATTGGTATGAGTCCTGATAGATAGGACTTCCTGTCTGCAGAGTAATTTTTTGGATACTGTAGTAGAAATGGCATATGAAACAAATCCTCACTTACACCTAGATAGAGACAGGTGCCAGGGTGCTCAGTGTTTAAACCCTGAGAGCAAACCCACTGTCAAATGGGCAAGTTTGACTTCTTTCGCTGAAGCCTGCCTTCTGAAAGCCCAGAATTTGGTGAGATAGAAGAGAAAGAAGGGTAGAATGAGGTGTTACAGATACAGGCTGGCAGATAAAGAGACCTCAGCACTTTGTCTGTTTTCCTGGTCAGTCTCTGAGGTGTGGTGATTGAACTTGTGTTCTTTTTTATTTTTTATTTTTTTTGAGATGGAGTCTCGCTCTGTCACCCGGGCTGGAGTGCAGTGGCACGATCTCGGCTCACTGCAACCTTCACCTCCCAGGTTCAAACGATTCTCTGCCTCAGCCTCCTGAGCAGCTGGGACTACAGGTGCGTGTCATCACGCCTGGCTAATTTTTGTATTTTTAGTAGAGACTTGGTTTTACCATGTTGGCTAGGCTGGTCTCGAACGCCTGACCTCAGGTGATCTGCCCGTCTTGGCCTCCCAAAGTGTTGGGATTACGGGCGTGAGCCACCGTGCCCGGCCTGAACTTGTGTTCTTATGTAATGTTGCATCTCTCAGTAGGGGATGTCCTCCTTTGCTCTTTTGGTGGGGCAGCAATTCCTGCAGCAGCCTTCCCTCTACATGCACACACACACCCCTTCCAAAAGGTAATAATTCACCTGGTTTCTTTAAAGTTAGAACTTCTTTCAAGTTTATTGCTACTAAGCATTGTTTCACTCCCTCCACACTTGTCCATTTCCCACATAAAAACTTGGCTTTTGCTTCAAATATTTTCTTCTGCCCTTTTTTCATATCCTTAGCTCTTCTGACAACCAAGTTACTACTGGTATCATTTGTAGGCTGGGAGAAATACAGCATCTTTAAAAAAAAATAGTGAGGTACATACTCTTCCTCATTTCAGTACCAAACAAGTGAACTGTGGAGAATGAAGCAGAACCACTTGCCAGCAGAGAGGGAAGGCCAGAGGGCACACGTGGTTGTCTTTCCCCTCTAGTTCCCCATTTATTAAGAGACAATTCACACTTGCAGGCCCGAATGTCAGCAGATCCATTGGGCCCAGGTTGTGTAATTGCCATACATGAAGTGAGTTATTAAGCTCCTGAAATGACATGCTATCTCCTAGTTGAAGCTGACAAGCAGGATTTATTTTCCCTCTTCTTTCTGTCTGGACACTATGGAAGTCTTGTTAGAGGGTGTTCGCTCAAGCAGTGGGAGAAAGATCAGAAGGAGCCAATAGAGGAGGGAGCCCCATGTCTTGTCTTCTTTTCAACTTTGAGAGCAAACATTGCTTTGTTGCAGACTTGAATGTTGAGGATTAGGACATTTGGTTAAATGTAAGCTTTGGGACAAATGCAAAACTAGGGGAAATAGAGACTCTTTCCCCAGGTTTCTCACGAGCTCCATAGTACTCAGGAACCTTTGGGTGGACTGTCCTTGCGCGTCAAGATCTGTTCACTCCACCCCTGGCTTGGATTCAAGGCAACAGCCATTGTGTGTCCCTTGGATGAGTGTAAGTTTGTGTTTCTGTGTAAGAACCTTTCATCTTAAAAAGTACAAGTTCTGGGGAAAGGTGCCTCTTACAAGGCTTAGGTTTTCGCAGCAGAGCCTGTTAGGCACCTGTGTTCTTCTTGGGCTGATGTGTCTGCGATGGTGTCCTTTTTCTTCCCTTTTTAGTTTTTTTTGGCCTGGAAACCAGCAGGGTGCCTCCATTTGCTCTCTCATCCTCTGGTTCTTACTTGAGTGTGGAAGTCGCTCCACTGGTGGACCTTGCAGTGGCACTGAGCTGGGTCACTTCAGCCGTGAAAGGCCAACTGTACTACTGTCAAGGCTTGGGACAGTTAAGCGTCCGTGAAGGTACTGGATACAGCGACAGCAGGAAGTGCAGCAGTGAGAACTGAAACTAATTTCACAGACTGTGGTGTTGCCTGTGATGTAGTCTCCCTCCCTGGCTCTTCTATCTCAAAAAAGGAAAATAGCCACCCTTGAAACATCTGAAGGCTGCGTGCCAAGAATTCACACAGTACTCCTGAAACAGGATATTACTGAAGCATTTTTCTCAAACAGAAACAGATGTAGTTCCCTGTTACTGTCGCCAGTGTTAGTAGATCCTTAAAATTACCTGACAGCAGTGTGCCCCTAAATGTACTCCCCGCTCCTACACACATACACAAGTGTTTTATTTTATTTTATTTTTTGGCAAAGCCTCCTTCCTTGATTTGAGGGAAGTTAGCCTGGGATTCCTGATGACAGTAATAGATTCTCAGTGGGTTTGCAGACGGCAGAGGTGGTGACTGACAATTCTTTATTACTCAGAAGAGGATCTTCTCTGGTGAAAAATGATTCAGGATTCTGCAGTTGGAGATTGGATACAAAACCTCAGAGAAGGGACACAAATAGAGATCTTTCTCAGCCTCCCCTTTCTTGCTACCCTTTGTAGAGGAGAGGGAATGTCTCATATTTCTAAGTCCAACCTACTGCCAGCAGTGACTTGCCTTCACCCACAGAAATTTAAGATTAGAGTGTGGAATTGCCCTTTATGTAAACTGTCCTTGCTGAAATTTTCTTTGACTAGACTAGGCTTCAGCTTCTGACAAAGACAGTAAAATGAAACTGGCTTCTGGGAATGGCATAAGAGCCTGTTTATCCAATTCTTCCTTTAGATTGTTCTCAGTTGAGCTCAGCAAACTAAGTGGACGGAGGCTTGTAAAAGGTAACTGCAAAAAGGGTACAAGGTGATTTTGCTTAATTTGCATTTTAAATTATAGCAGTCTATGCAAACTGTTTGAAGGAAGACTGAGAGATGTTTTTTGGTGGGGAGGCACAAGATTACAGATAGCTTGGAAAATAAAAGGGAAAAAAAATCAGCATGATTCTACCACCCTAACATAATGTGTATTCTGTTTTTTCCATCTTCAGATGGTAGTACCTGTACATTCAGCTTTGTATTTTTTTCACTTAGCTTTTTTTTTTAACAGGTCATAAAATTCACCCATTTAAAGTACAATTCAGTGGTTTTTAGTATATTTACAGAGTTGTACATCTATCACCATAATCTAATTTTGCAACATTTTCATCACCCCAAAAAGTCACTCCCTATTTCTCTACAATCCCACCTAGCCCTAGGCAACCACTCATCTTTCTCTCTATATAGGTTTGCCTATTTGGACATTTCATATAGATGGAATCATATGATATGTGGTCTTTAATAACTGGCTTCTTTCACTTAGCATAATGTTTTTGAGGCTTATTCATGTTTTACCATGTATCAGTACTTCATTCCATTTTATTGCTGAATGCTATTCTGTTGTATTGATATACCACATTTTGTTTATCCATTCATCAGCTGATGGACAGTTGGGTTGTTTCTGTTTTTTGGTTATGAATAATATTGCAGTATTGCTAAGAACGTGTGTATAAGTTTTTCTGTGGGTATATGTTTTCATTTCTCAAGGAGATACCTTTAAAGCTGCATCCATCCATATCTCTACTTTGTGGTTAACATTCTCCTAGGTTATGCAGTTTGTTTGAGGAAGAACAGTGTTTTAGTAAACTCTTGATCCTACTGTGGTGTTGCGGATATTGCCCTGAATCAAGAAAAGGTGCCACCAAAAAAAAATCCAAAACCCAAAAACAAAAAGAGAGAATCCTGTTTTTAAGTTTGAACTCTCCAGTAGCATTGTTTCCAAATATTTGGTGCAGAACTTTAACCATTGGTGAGAGTTGACAGACGCGATAGTGCCTAAATTCAATGCACATGTACTGCTGCTTTAAACAAATAAAGAGGATTTTCAATGCGAAGCCTCAGCTCTAAATCTCATCTTTGTGTTTTATAGAGAGGACTTTACCATGAACCCCCAAAGCCTTCCTTATCAAATGTGATTTATAGTTCTCAGAAGCTTTTCCTTTTCTTGTGAAAAATTCCATGCCAGGGTTCTGTGCACCTGCTCAAAGGCTTCTGCTAGGTTGGGGAGTGGAATGCTTATTGAACAGAGAGCCAGCCAGCAAGGTAGGGAGGAGGGAGAGGGTCTGTGAGTGCCCTGAAAATGTAGATCTGAGAAAGAGTGCTCTTTAGAGCAGCCCCCACAGGGCTTTTCCAGGTGGACCTCAGGTGTAACCCGAGGTTAAAAACAGATCATGCCAGACACAAAAAGGAGCAGATGGTGCTGCTTGGAGTGTCATTTCCTCTACAGGATGTGTCCCTGTGTGGTTTTACATCATGCCAACCATATTAATGAAATAATGCAACAGAATGTCTCCTTTTGCCCTTGTTCCAATTGGAACCACAGGTTGAGTTTCCCTAACCTGAAATATGAAGTGCTCCAAAATCTTAAACTTTTTGAGCACCCACATGATGGAGAATTCCACACCTGACCTCATGTTTTAGGTCACAGTCAAAACTACCTTCAGTCTATGTGTATTACGTGTAAATGAAACATAAATGGATTTTATGTTTAGACCAGGGTCCCATCCCTGAGATACCTGATTATGTATATACAAATATTCGAAAATCTAAAACATTTGTGATCCCAAGCATTTCTGATAAAGGACACTCAGCCTGTACTAGCACTTGTGACCAACAGCTAGTCTTGCTTTCAACAGCTAGTCTTGCTTTCCCTGATCGTAGATCCCTACTAAAAGCTCTTGAAAGTGTGCATATGCAGGCTACCTAATGATTTAACGGAGGATCAAGATGGTTACACTGCAGAGAAACAGGAGGGATAGGGCATATGCCCTTTGTCCAGCAAGACAGACAAAAACTAGGAACTTGAATTCTCTTCTCTGGATTCCTGTATCTGGAGCCAAGGCCAAGGATCAGTTCTTCTAGAAAGTTCCCTCCTGTGTGTGTGTGTGTAAATGTGTGTGAATGCAGCCATAACTTCCCTGCCAAAATTCATTGCCAAAAATTTTGTGATTTGAAGCAGGCCTTACCTGTTAATGCAAATTTGATTCTCAAATCCTAAGAGTTTCCAAAGGTTGAGTGAAGTGAGATGAGACTCTTAGTTGAAGATCCAGATGCTTCACTGTTGCTATCTAGATGCTACCAAAACTCCCAGCACAACAAAGTATATGAAGAGAGGTTCTAGGTTCATGAAATGTTAGAGTTGGAAAAATGGGCCTTTGGGGTTCTTCTTATTCTACCTCCTCATTTTAAAGAAATGCAAGTGGGAAATGGATGCTCAGAGCTGACTTGCCTGAGAGGTGAAAGGGCTAGTGGAGAAGCCAGAGCCCCTGATTCCTAGTCTAGTGCTTTTCCCTCCCGGTGTGATCACCTCTTTGTTTCTCCCCCTCTTCTGGGCCTGGTCCCGGAATGGGGGTTGGGAGTCCAGCAGGGTGTCGTGGTTCATATTTTTGGGAACAAATTCAAGTTACTTCTGTGATTGTAGTTTTGAGTCTAATAGTGAAATTACAAAGGCAGTGAGTCATTAAGTCCAATTCTTCTGAAAGAAAACTGTTCTTAAAATGGGTGCAGAGCCCTCAGGGCTGCTCTGCCTATGGAGCAGCCATTCTTTATTCCTTTACTTTCTTAATAAACTTGCTTTCACTTTAAAAAATCGGTGTAGTTGTGTTTAGGCTGTGCCTGCTTAACTTTTAAATCTCTGTGCTGTGTATCTTTGCCATTCAAAAATGCCACCTGGCCTGGTACGGTGGCTCACACCTGTAATCCCAGCACTTTGGGAGGCTGAGGTGGGACAATTGCTCAAGACCAGTTCAAGACTAGCCTGGGCAGCATAGTGAGAGTCCACATCTCTACAGAAAAAAAAAAAAAAAATTAAAAATTAGCTGGGCATGGTGACACACACCTGTAGTCCCAGCTACTTGGGAGGCTGAAGTTGGGGGATCGCTTGAGCTTGGGAAGTCAAGACTGCAATGAGCTATGATGGTGCCACTGTACTCCAGCCTGGGTGACACAGTTGAGACCCTGTCTCAAAACAAACAAACAAAAAAAAACCACCTGACCCCAGGCCAATGGGATGTGTGCTCTGTCTGGGAGAACTGATCCCACACCTACACCCCATTAACCTACCAAACCCTTCAGAGCTGTGTCTCGACTTCCTTGGGCTTATTGTATGTGGAATCAGCTACCCACCTAAATGCAGCGTGAACACACATCTATAACTGTATGTCTCTAACCAGGCACAAAGGAAGCAAGTCATATATACTGGCTTTCCCCATCCCAGAAAGCCGGTGAACAGAGTCTTGTGTTTAGTGGGTGCTGCTGTTTCAGTTGGCATGCTTGAGCCATTGCTAGAAAAGTAACCAATGATATGTTATCTGGTCTACCCCTTTATCAATCCTCCATCTGCCTCCAGGTAGAAACTCTGCCATGGGAAGACCGTCTGCCTCCTTGTTTCTGTCCTGTGGGAATTTTGCTTGTTACACAGCAGAATAGCAAGAAAAACAGGCTCTGAGTTTCATAAGAATTCATCGATCCATCTTTCCTTTACATGTACCCTCAAGTCATAATAATTTGTGAGCCGATAATCTGGTTAGGCTATGATGTCAGACTGGTGGGAGGCTGGTAGGTGGTTGCTGCAGAAACCAAAGGGAAGTAAGTCTAGTTGTCTGGCAAATAATTAGTGGATGTCTGTTCTAGGCACTAGGTATACAGTTGTGAACAAAGAACAAAATGGTCATAATACTTGCTGGCATGGAGTTAGCATACTGCGGGAATACTCACGAGGTTTTTAATTTGAGAGTAGTGTTGGAGGAATTTTTTGTGTACGGTAGACTTTCAGCTTGATTGTTTGGGATTTGTCAGTTACTTCTGTGCTCCAAACCACAGTCATCCTGGAAGGGAAGAACTTGAAAAGTATCGTTAGAGAGTTTCCCCTAGTCTCCCCATTAAATAAATGAATTGTCTTTCTCTGCAGTGAGCTAGGTCTAACAGTTTGGTGTGCTTTGAGGATTCCTGTTTCTTGCTTTATTTAATCAACTAGTTTTTAATCTGGGAATGTTTTCAGACCTTGACATATCCTATTTTTAATTAAAAGAAAAAAGGAGATGTGGGTTCAACTATGAGAAACTGGGAGAAGGGGAATAAGAGGATCAGTGGCATGAATTCCTTAGGGAATCTTTTTTCTTCCATCTCCCTCAAGCCTCAATTTTAGATAGAAATGTTGATTTGTGAGATCTTTTTCCTGATATATTTGTGGCTTTACAACCTGCTGGGGACAGTAAAGGACCTAGTTCCCAGTAAACGTACGCCCTCCCCCTATATTTTACCTCTTTGGGTGGCCATCTCTGTGTAGGCCCTGGTTCCAGGCTGACATTGGAAGTTCCCTGAGGTTGGTGACTGTCTGATCCACTTCCTTGTACCCCCTCCTGGATTAATTGGATGATTAATAAATGATTGACCAGGTGTAGGGGATTAAAATAACAAGTATAGGAGGGCAGGGTGACTTTGAGGTTATGAGCCTTGATGACAAGGAATGAAAGAGTGGTATTATTGATGAAATTCTAAAAATGGAGTCATTTGTAGGGAGGCCTGGTTTGAGTGAAAAACAAATATAAACAGGGTGTTAAAAAGCTGTTAACATTCACCAAGTTCACCCTGTCTGGTGGCAGGAAAAGAAGTCAGCTCAGGAACCATGGCAGTGGGAGGTGAAGGAGAGAGAGGGTATTAGAGGTTGTCCAGAATGTTTTAGCAAGGCCAATCAGAAACAAACTATAGGGTCCCCTTATTATGGGGCTGAAGACCAGAAAGTCATCCCTGCTAATTTTTAGGTAGCAGATCTTTGTTTCTAGAATTCTGTTCTTTTAAAAGCCTTGGGAGGCATCATTCATTCCTGAAAGTCAACTTACACATTTGCCTCTGTAGTTTGGAGAGAAATATATTTAGTATCCAGTGTGTCAGGTTGCAGGCAAGGAAGTAGTTAACACTTTTCTCTTTGTTCTCCACAATTGAACTGTTTTTGGGGGGGCAGTTCTACTGCTTCTGGAATTACATAATTGTGTGGGTCATCTCCTTTGAAGGTCTGTCCATGCTTTTTTTAAAGCACATCGTTGAAAGAAGGGTGCTCTGTACAAATGCTGACATGCTTTTCTCTTGGGTTATACGTGAGCAATTGTAGAATGAACAGACTTCAGGGTTTTGGTGTTGGTATAGCTTTCTGTGAATAGTGAAGGTATTAGGAGGCTAATGTTAAGGCAGCAGGTGAGGTGGTTTTCAGGCAACACATCTGAACTCATTAATTGATCAAGTATTTATCAGATGCTCTTTCCTATATACTAATTATCTCCCCAAAGGAATTCTTTGCAGCACAAAAGTTTAACACTTAATTATACATTTTGAGTTGTTCTCCAGTGTTTTTTTGGCTTTTTTGTTTGTTTGTTTTTTGAAACAGGGTCTTGTTCTGTCGCCCAGGCTAGAGTGTAGTGGTACCATCGCGGCTCGCTGCAGCCTTGACCTTACGGGCTTATGCGATCCTCCCACCTCAGCCTCCTGAATAGCTGGGACTACAGGCATGTGTCACCATGCCCGGCCAATTTTTTTGGATTTTTTTGCAGAGACGGGGTTTTGCCATGTTGCCCAGGCCGGTCTTGAGCTCCTGGACTCAAGTGATCCGCCTGCCTCAGCCTCCCAAAGTGCCGGGATTACAGGCATGAGCTACCACCCCGGCCCAGTGTTTTGGTTAGTCTCTTCTCCTCATAGATTTCAACCGCCTTGAGGATGGTTTACGTTTCTCTGTGTTTACTGTGCAGACTGGACATCCATATTCATAGCAGTAAAGATTTCTTCATTTTACAAACTGCTTTTTGTTTTTTTGAGATGGAGTCTCACTCTGTTGCGCAGGCTGGAGTGCAGTGGTGCGATCTCGGCTCACTGCAACCTCTGTCTCCCAGGTTCGAGCGATTCTCCTGCCTCAGCCTCCCGAGTAGCTGGGATTACAGGCGCCCACCACCACGCCTGGCTAATTTTTGTATTTTTAGTAGAGATGAAGTTTCACTATGTTGGTCAGGCTGGTCTCGAACTCCTGACCACAAGTGATCTGCCCACTTTGGCCTCACAAAGTGTTGGGATTGCAGGCGTGAGCCACAGCGTCCGGCCAAACTGCTTTCATGTAAGATATCGCATACTGTCAGGAAGATTGTACTCCCATTTTACAAATGGGAAAGATAAGACCTTTGGCAACCAGTATGCATATGGCAGCAACTGTACTTGTATGTAGTAGTGATGTTCAGTCAGCTGGGGTTCAAATGCTAAATCAGACACCGGTATGATAGCACATGTTGAGAGGTGGGAAACCTCCTAGGATTGCAGACTTGATTAACTTGCCAAGGAACAGCAAACAGCAACATGATAGCAACAGCCCCTTTTTGGTTCCTCCATCCCCATCTCGTTACAGGTACCCTAAAGTCAGCATGTATTTGTGTACTAATGGAACAAAAATACGAACATGTGCATACAGTCATGTGCAGTGTAATAACATTTTGCTGCATATATGATGGTGGTTCCATAAGATTATAATGGAACTGAAAAATTTCTATCATCTAGTGACATTGTAGCCATGGTAAGGTCATAGCACAATGCATTACTCACCTGTTTGTGGTGATGCTGTTACAAATAAAGCTACAGCATGGCCAGTTGTATTAGAGTCTAGCACATACAATTATGTATAGTACATAATACTTGATGATAATAACAGTGTTTCTGGTTTATATATTTACTATACCATGTTTTTTGTCATCAATATAGACTGTACTCCTTCTACTTAGGAAAAAACTCCCCAAAAAAACAGTTAACTGTAAAACAGCCTCAGGCAGATCCTTCAGCAGGTTTTCCAGGAGGCATTGTTACAGGAAATAACAGTTCTGTTCCTGCCTTTGAAGACTACTAGTGAAATAAGATGCTGAGATGGAAGATAGTGATATAGATGATCCTTACCCTGTGTAGGCCTAGGCTAATGTGTGTGTTTGTGTCTTAGTTTTTTAACAAAAAAAGATTTTTTAAAATAGAAAATAGCTTATAGATAAGGATATAAAGAAAGAAAATATTTTGTCACAGCTGTATGTCTTAACCTAGGTGTTATTACAAATGAGTCAAAAAGTTTAAAATAATTAAAAAGTTTATAAAGTAAAAAAGTCACAGTAAGCTAAGGTTAATTTATAGAAGAAAAAATTTTAAAAAATATGTAGCCTAAGTGTACAGTGTTTATAAAGTCTACAGTAATGTACAGTAATGTCCTAGGCCTTCACACTCCATTCACTCACTTACCCAGGGCAATTTGCAGTCCTGCAAGCCCCATTCGTGGTAAGTGCCCTATACAGATGTACCATTTTTTATCTTTTATACCATATTGTATTTTTTCTATGTTTAAGTATGTTTAGATACACAATTACCATCATGTTAGAGTTGCCTACAGTATTCAGTAACATATCTGCTGTACAGGTTTGTAGCCTAGGCTATGCCATGTAGCTGAGGTGTATAGTAGGCTATGCCATTTAGGTTTATGTAAGTACACTCTGTGATGTCCACACAACAACATTGCCTAATGACACATTTCTCAGAAAGTATCCACGGAATCAGAGTGACCCTGCTTCAGTCTCAGTTCTGCCATGTATCAGCCATATGACCTTGAGCAAATTTAACCTCTTTGATACTTAGTTGTTTTTTTTTTTTTTTTGAGAGGGAGTTTCGGTCTTGTTGCCCAGGCTGGAGTGCCATGGCCTGATCTCGGCTCACCGCAACCTCTGCCTCCCAGGTTCAAGCGATTCTCCTACCTCAGCCTCCCAAGTAGCTGGGCTTACAGGCATGTGGCACCATATCCGGCTAATTTTTTTGTATTTTTAGTAGAGACGGAGTTTCTCCATGTTGGTCAGGCTGGTCTCGAACTCCCGACCTCAGGTGATCCACCTGCCTTGGCCTCCCAAAGTGCTGGAATTACAGGCGTGAGCCACCGTGCCTGGCCGATACTTAGTTTTATCATTTGTAGGATAGAAATGATGTTAACACTACCCATCTATAGAAGGGTGGCTACCAAAATTTTGATTATTGCCTGGTGTGGGGAATTCTGGATGTGAATGGTAAAGGATAAAGGGAACTTTAACTTCTTAAACTTGCTTTTTGTTTCATTTGAATTTTTTGCTATTGGCATGTATAACTTGAATAATTTATTAAAATTACATTTAAAAGTACTCCCTTGTAGAATTTTATGAAAATCAAATGAAATGGGATATTTAAAAAGATAGGTATGTGTCTGACAACTAAAAGATACTTAAATGGCAGTTTGGGGAAGTATTAATTAGTGGCTGACCCTTTTGTAGTGTTAAATGTTCTGTCTGACTGTGTGGCTTCAGGTAGGTCTCTTAACTTTGTTAAGCTCCAGCTTCTTTAACTGAAATTGGGAGTTAAGAGTAGTGTGTATTCCACGGGGGGTTTTGAGGATTAAATGATTCTAGATGGTTAAGCAGTTAACTCAGTATCTGGCACATAGTTAAGTACCCAGTAAATATTAACTGTTATCAGCTTTTATCCTCACTATGCTTGAAGAGAGGAGGCAGTGAGTGTAACTTTACCTACTTTAAAGTTACAGAAAATGAGGCACAGGGTAGTGGGTGACTTGTCCTAAGGCTAGATGTTGGGTTAGCAGCAGAAACGGGGCTGACGCCTACATGGTCTCCTTCATGTTTCAGTGCAGCCCTGTCAGAGTGGGTGGCAGCAAACCACGGAGGCTTCTCGGATGTGCAGACAGGAAGCACTGGCCAGGACTGCGGATGTGAAGCTCAGCAGAACATGGCCGGTCTGGACAGAGGGGGTTAGCAAGGGTCAATGTGGGGCTGAGTGAGTGAGAGAAGCCAGCTTAGAACCACATCCTTTTTCCACCTTCCAGGGCAGATGGACCACATCCAGAGTGATCAAAAGGAGAGGCTTGTTTCCTCTCTCCGCCTCCTGGTCTTGTATGTGGCACACTCTTTACCACTCCCCTCGTGGGCTCAGTTCTCTGAACTCTGTCACATCCAGAAAATTCAGGTCTGGCCTTCTCTGTGAAACCATCTCTGCTGCTGGAGTCCTCACTGACAGCCACACCACCCGCGTCTGCTCATCCTCTCCCGCTTTCAACCTGGATGGCCTGTGTGAGGATGGCTTTGCTTCTCTAAGGAAGGCCTCTCTCCCTATACCACTTTAGTGCTCCCCATGGTGTTCCACCTGCTCCCAGAACAATCTGCCTGTTTGTGGGACTGAATGGTTGAGTTGAAGCCAGTCTTGGTGGGAAATAGGTTTGGAGCTTCTCTGTGGGCTCCTCTTCTGTGTATTTGCATTTTGAGAGGGGGGAAAAAAAGCCCTGAGTGATTTCTGCCTAGTACGGTTTCCAGAGAATGCGAGATTCTCCTCCTCAAACTCAGTCCTGGGGCCAGAGCTGATTAAGCCCCCGGCTTCCCACCTTCCCACCTTGGGTTTTTACAGTATACTTCTTATCCTTGCCCTTTCTGTTCTCTGCTTATCAGACCTTCCCACATGTGCCCTGCTCTCTTCCTGCTGCACAGGGGTCATGAAATACTTACCAATTAGTGAAAAATACAGACAATGCAGTGTCAAATTTTACCAATCTCAGTTTGCACAGTGGACTGGAAGATGGCATGTGCCATCTTCTTGCAGGACTTGATTGTTTTTGTGTTTGCGTGTGTTTCAAATATTTCCTTTTCCAAATTTGCGTTTAATGGTGGCTGGCAAACCCCCATAGTTCACTTTTCATTTTTCGTTGTAGATATTCTTTGAATATCTCCTTGCTATGGGTATTGGGCTTACATTTAATAATTCCCCATCAGGATCTGAAAAGTATGAGGGTGCCTACCTATGAAGCACCCATTTTTTTCATGCTTAATACCAACTAAGTCACCAGACTTTTTTTTCGAGATAGGGTCTTGTTCTGTTGCCCAAATTGGAGTGCAGTGGCTTGATCATAGCTCACTATAGCTTCGAACTCCTGGACTTAAGTGCTTATCTTCCCAGCTCAGCCTCCTAAGCAGCTCGGATTACAGGCACGCATCACTATACCTGGCTAATTAAAAAAAAAAACGTGTTTTTTTTTTGTCTTGCTGTGTTCCCCAGGTTGGTCTTGAAGCCCTGGCCTCAAGTGATCCTCCTGCTTTGGCCTCCCAAAGTGCTGGGATTACAGGCATGAGCCACTGCAACTGGCCTGTCCCACTTCTTTAGAGGACTCTGCTCTGACTCCCACTAGCTTGGCAACAGGTGGATCCTAGAGGATGTTAAAGACCTCATGGAAGGGACCCTCTTAACTAATTGCAAAATAAGAATGTTCATTGGAAAAGAAACCCTCCCACCACCATGGTGGAAGTCCCTCTAAAACACAAGTTGTTCAGGACTTTTATTATGTTGCTCTAGTATTTATCTGGTTTTTGAAGATAGTCTTGCTTAAATTAATTCTGATTTCAAGAGTGATGACTAAAAGTTTTGGAGGAGGTGTTTAGAAAAGGATGAAGCTCTGGGTTTATTTCAGGGCTAATCATGAATTTGCAGGAGCAGCTTCAGGACACCAGGGAGAGGCATGGCACACTGCCTTGGAGCTGTCCTTAGGATGCTGCTACCTTTTAGGGACATACTGTAGGCAGTCCTTGGTCTATGTAAAGTTGTGCCTGGGCCTTATCAGAAATTAAACAGATGTTATTTATTTATTTATTTTTTCTTTTTGAGACAGAGTCTCACTCTGTTCCCCAGGCTGGAGTGCAGTGGCAGGATCTTGGCTCACCACAAGCTCCATGCCATTCTCCTGCCACAGCCTCCTGAGTAGCTGAGATTACAGGCGCCCACCACCACGCCTGGCTAATTTTTTGTATTTTTAGTAGAGATGGGGTTTCACCGTGTTAGCCAGGATGGTCTCGATCTCCTGACCTCATGATCCGCCTGCCTCGGCCTCCCAAAGTGCTGGGATTACAGGCGTGAGCCACCGTGCCCGGCCCAGATGGTATTTCTAGTAAAAGTGGCAGATGTTCTTGCTGTCAGAATTAATTTTAATCTTTTTACATGTAAATGTGGGATTATGGGACTCTTTTTGGGGGGTCTTAGTCTCATATGGAAGTGCTGCTCTTACTTTACAGAGATTTTATCTATCCCTTGCTCTTACCCAAAGTGACTTTTTTTTTTTTTGAGATGGAGTCTCGCTCTGTCACCCAGTCTGGAGGGCAGTGGCGCGATCTTGACTCACTGCAGTCTTTGTCTCCTGGGTTCAAGCGATTCTTCTGCCTCAGCTCCTACGTAGCTGGGATTACAGGCACCTGCCACCACGCCCAGGTAATTTTTGGATTTTTAGTAGAGACGGGGTTTCACCATGTTGGCCAGGCTGGTCTGGAACTCCTGACCTCAGGTGATCCACCCACCTCTGCCTCCCAAAGTGCTGGGATTAC
Organism: Homo sapiens; assembly: GCF_000001405.40. NCBI lineage: Eukaryota > Metazoa > Chordata > Mammalia > Primates > Hominidae > Homo > Homo sapiens. The sequence goes on from NC_000014.9 coordinate 69,628,209, forward strand.
AGACATGAGCCACTGCTCTCGGCCCCAAAGTGACTCTGAACTCTGTTTTCCCATCCCCTCTGATCACTTTCTCTCACCACGTGGGTCATTTGTGGTGGCAAAGTACAAAGTGACCAGCCTTCTCTCTCATAGAATTTGAAGGTTGCTGATGGGGCTATGTTACTAATGGGGCTGTGTGCTTGCTACAGAGATACTGCTGGTGATGAAAGTGTATGACATTTCTGTTATTCCTTTGGGTTAAGACATCTGTATTTAGCAGGTATTATACCTAGAAGGAGTGTCTATATCAGAGTATCCCAGAAAAGAAAGAAGAAAAATCCCCTGGGGAGTGGGAAAAGGCAGAAAGTATTGAATGTGTGCCCTGTGCCAGGCAGTGTGCTCAGTGCTTTAACTCGGTAGGCTAATCTTCACTGGATAAATCAGGAAACCAAGCTCTGAAACATTTCAGTACTGTTAATTACTGTATTGGAACTAGAACCAAGGTTGGAGTGATTCTAAAGCCTGTGGTGGGTTTTTTTTTTTTTTTTTTTGAGACAGGGTATCACTCTGTTGTCCAGGCTGGAGTGCAGTGGGGCTATGTAGGCTCACTGCAGCCTCCGCCTCCCCACCTCAGCCCCCAACCCCAGTAGCTGGGACTACAGGCACATACCACTACACCCAGCTAATTTTTGTATTTTTTGAAGAGATGGGGTTTTGCCATGTTACCCAGGCTGGTCTTGAACTCCTGGGCTCAAGTGATCTGCCAGCCTTGGCCTCCCAAAGTGCTGGGATTACAAGCATGAGCCACTGAGCTCGGTTCTGCCTATGGTTATTTTATGGCAGGTAAAGAATATGTGGATTCGAAAGTTGGGTGGGGGATGAGGTGGTGAGGGAGGCAGAGAACAAATGCCTGGAGAGAGGAGGGTAGGGCCAGGTGGGAGTTGCAGTGGAGGGGCACTTGGGAGTGAATGGTCCTGGTGAGGGTGTGGAAAGGAGGGGTTGGTTAGCAAAAACAAGCTGAAGTGGAAGAGAGGTTGGGGGTCCCTTGGAGGGGGTGTAATGTTGGATGATGGCATTTCTTCCCTGAGGGACGAGGGATGGACCAGAGGAGCCTGGAGGACCAGATAACCTCTGTATTTAGGTAGATGGCCGTTGGGCCCCCACAGGAAGCCTTTTAATCCCTGGTATTTATAGACTGGCCTGTACTCTACTGAAAGGCAGCTCCCATATCAGTCAGCAAAGGCAACATTATCTGCCTTTGAAACACCACCTCCGTGGATTACCATTTGGCCCAATGGGAGGGTCTGGATAATGCCCATTATATTATCCTAATTCCCTGCTACCTCAGAGGTTGTTAAGGGGCACTTCTGCTGTTTCCCTCTGAGTGACCTCTGGCTGCCACTCTCTTGCAGATGCTCCTTTTCCTCTCAGGGATGAGTCGGAGCTGGGACTGGGAAAGGCAGCCCTCTTGTTTCTGTTCAAGTTGGCCAGGAATGCCCAGGAATGATGATTCTGTTTTGCCAGCTTCTTGCCGTGAGGCTGGGGTTGCTGTGTTTACAGCACAACCAACCCTAAAGTCAGTGCAATTCACTGTGGATTTATTGAGCACCTGCTAGTATGTGCGTGTGTTGGGGGTGGTATATGAAAATGATGGAGGCAGGTCTCTGCCTTAAATGAGGGAGGGTGGGCAAACAGCTCCCACGGTCGGCGGTTGAACCAGTTCCTATTCTTTCTCATAGGAAGTGTCCATAAACATTGTCTTGTCTCATTTGCATGGTTGTTGAGAGGTTTGAATGTAGTGGTAATGAATTGAGAGTGCTTCTAAAGGTATTAAGCTCTTGATTTATGTAAAACTTTCTTCAGTATTACTAGGCAGGCTGATAATAAAAGCTAACATATATTGAATGCTTTCTATTTGCCAGGCACTGCCCTAAGTGCTTTCTATATATTAGCTTATTTAATCTTTATAGCAACTTTGAAGTAGATTGCTTGTGTACCCACTTAAAAGAGGATTAAAAAAACTTGCCGAGGATGGCACAGCAGGTAAGTAGCAGAGCCAGGCAGTCTGAACGTTTGGCCAAACACTGGCCACTGTAAAGATCTTGTGGAAGTCAGGGAGTAGAGGTGGTCTCTCTCCCCCAAGTGAAGGCAGCAGCCAGGACCTACCGTCAGAGACCAGCAAGGAGCAGAGAAAGGTCAGGCTGGTGCCTCAGAAAGCATCAGCATTTCTGCACAACTTAATTAAATTACTGAAACCTTTTCTGAGCTTGGAGCCATCTTTCTTGGAGAGTAATACAATTGAAACAGATAATTTAAGCCAAGGAGGAAGGACAGAATTGGTGAGCTCACATATGTAGATGGACATGTAATGACGTCTGACTAAAACACAGAGGAAAAACCTTAAAGTGAATCATGTTTATTCAATTTCCAAACAAGTGCAAAGACCCAGGCAGCGTGCTTCATGTTTGGACTCTTGAAGAACACACATGGAAAAAAAAAAAGAAAAAAACCTCTTCCCCTCTCAACCCTTTTCTAAGTTTTTATTAAGAATATATTAATTTGAGCATTAATATGCAATGTATCCATCTTTGTCAGTTATTTTCCAGAAAAATCTAGCTCATTTTTTGAGGCAACTTCTAGCCAAGTTGTTTCAGTTGTGGAGAATTGGGGTCAAGCGTACATGCTGATCATGGAAAAAGCAATCTTAAATGCACGCCTGTAAAGAGGACTCTGAGAGTTCATGTTTCTGAATTCTTGTTTTACTCCACTCCATTCTGTCAACAGCTTTCTTAACATGAGGTGCCTGTGACTTAAAGTGATTATCTGTTTCCTTAGCAATTCAGGGGACTTAACCATCATCTAGTGACCTGTGTCCCCAAAGCTTGCTGTGGCTTCAGAGGTCTCCTGGAATGCCCCAAGGCAGTGTCACTCAAAGTATGCTTTAGCATCACCTGGGCCACCTTAGACTTTCAAAATCAGCCCTCACATGTGCATGTTCAGCTGGCTTTCTGCTGCTTCTCAAGCCAAGTCCAAGTCCCACCCCACCTCAAGGGGGTGCATAGCTGCAAGCAGCAGGGGAACAATCTTCAGACCTTCCCATCTCTTTTTATAATGATGCCTCCTAGTCCATAGTATATCTAGGATAATTTTAACATTTAAAATGAATTATGTTATATAAAATGGAATAAATTTCAACTCTACCAAGATTGCATGCTTTTGGGTCAGACTGTTTAGTTTGATATCTTGGTCTCATCACTTTCTATCTGTGTAAGCTTGGATAGGTTATTTAGCCCTTCTGCTTCTGTTTTTTGTTTTGTTTTGTTTTGCCTAAAACGGATATAACAGTACCTACCTTTTAAGGTTGTTGCAAGGATTAAATAAGATATTAGATGTAAAATGCTTACATCTGTGCGCAGTGACTAAGCACTCAAATGCCAGTTAATAATAATAATTCTGTGATTATCCTGAGGTTTCATGTTTCTGGAGTAGGATTATGACCACAACATTTACAGAATGAAGTCCTGCAGGATGACAAAACATCCCTGTCCCCATTGACACAGCCCCAAGTCACGGGCTTGCAAAAGAATGTTTGCCATCCCTAGGAAGCCTAACACAGGGCGCTGGGAAATGCTTGCAAAAGCAGATATTCTCAGGTCACATCCTTTTAGTTTTCTGAGGCCCCTGTGTTTAAAGGTACAGCATGACTGTTCTAGGGTGGTCAGAATCTGTCACAGGTGGGAGGGAAGTACTTGTTTAGAATATGGCAGAGAATCCACCAAGGTGTTAATACCAACAACAGTTTCTTCTTCATTCTGGGCTTTTTCCTCCCCTTATGCTTGTTTAATGGTTGGGAAAGAGGGCTAAATTGTACTTTTCCTTTGTAAAGGTGCACATCTCAAATTTGTTTCCCCTAGTAGCTTGTTTTTTAAAAAGTTTTAAGACATGACAAATTATACTTCTTTTTGGAAGAAAGATTAGGAAATACAGGTTAATGGCAACCCTTCCAGAGAGCACCACTGTTCACCCTGCTATTGCCCTGCTGCTTCTCTCCCTGGTCTAGGATGTCAGGGACGGCAGAGTGGCCAGGTGGAGGGGTCAGGCTTCAGAGGGAGGAGCTGCATTTCTGGGAGCCAGGCTGGCCCTCCTGTTGCTCTCAGGGCTGACACTTCTCTGTCTCATCCCTCCTCCCTCAGTAAATGCAGCTGGGGAGGATTGCCTAGAAGGGGAAAACTCATCGTGTAAGGAGAACACTTCCCTCGTGGCTTTTAAAATGTAATGCTTCCTTCCCCTTTTCTCTTCTTCCCAGAGTAAGAGCTGCCAGTAAAACTTCAGTGCAGGACTGTTGAGACGTATTTGTCATGATGTGATGGACAAAAGAATTGTCAGCTCCTCCTTTCTGTATCATCTCATTGATCCCCCTTTACCCCCTTGCAAATGAGAATTACAGGAAATCACAACTAGCATTAAAAAAAAAAAACAAAACACTGGGCAGATGGGAAGGATGAAATGTGTAACCCCCGTTCCCAGAAACAGGCAGAATGGCTGAGATGACTGACCCTAGCATTTGGTGTTCACTGAGCCAAAGCATTGCCTGAAGATAATGACACCGTCTGGAAATCAAAACCTGAGTCTTCCTGCTCTCATCCAAAACTCCCCTCTTTTGAGCTTCTCCAATCTAGTCAGTGACCCGCCCTCCCAGTTCTTTCTTTCACAGGTTCCTATCTCCACCACCCTAACCAGACCTTGTCATCCGCTGGCCTTCCAGGCTGTTTCAATCTCTCTTGCCAGGTTCACCCTGCTAGAACACGGTTCTCCTCTCCGGTGAGACTAGGTAAGAGAAAAAAGCCCTATGTGTATGAGGTAGCATTCCTATCCCTTCCTATGGTAGAGGTGTTCCTTCAGGATATTCTTGGTCCTCAAATATAGGAGGCCTTTAGGAAATGATTGTTGAACTGGATTAGGTCAGGTTTCCTGCTCAAGAATATTTGTTGACTTCCCACTACTTACTGATCCAAGGCAGAATTTCTCTGCCTGTTTTTCATGGCTGTGCAAACTGGCCTTACCTTAAATATTCAGTTGAATACTCAATACTTTGTGGAATAGCCAGAGTCTGCTATGTGACAGATGCTAAGAAAACCAGCAAGAACTGTCCCTTGCCCTGACAGATTTCAGAATGGAGTTTATTTTCTGTTCTTCCCTGATCCTTGGCCTCTCTTCCCGACCTTACCCTGCCACCCGCTATCTAGCATGTTTGCTTCGGCATTCCTGCCCCAGAAGGAATGTTCCCTCTTTACACCCTCATACTTATTCAGCCCTCAAAGCTTTCAGGTCAGATCTCCTTTCTTTCCTTTTTAAGGCGCTCTTTGATTATCTTGGTTCAGATTAATTTCTTTTTTTCCTATTTTTTCATTATTTTGTTCATAACTCACAAATAGCTGCAGCTTATTCTTCCTTATATTCTAATCATTCATATCTCACTGGTTAGCATTTTATTGCACCCATGTAGAATACTGAAATAGACATGATTGCCTTATTGTGTGTTTTGATTGTTTGCTGTTTGGGTTTGCAGCCTCCTCAACTCCACTGAAATTCTTGGTAGGCTGGGGATTGTGCCTTCTTTGCATTTTAAAGCTGTATATAGAAGATTGTCAGGAAATGATGATACATGGAATAAACAAATGTGAACCATTGGAGGTGAAAGGCGACCTGATAGTACTTTGGGAGTGCAGTTCCCAGTAGGATTTTGGGTGGCCTGGAGCACAGCAGCAGCTGGAGGCTGGGGACCATCCAGTTTTAGGACTCTGGTGACCAAGACCTGAGAGAAAGTGGAAAGGTCAGGAAGGGTCAGACTTGTCTCCCAAGAGTTTGTATTATCATGGGATTCTCTTGAAACTCTGGTTCATGTGGAAAATGTGCTTATCCTAGAAGTTGACTAGGGTTCTTGGGGAATGATGGTGAGGCCAGATGCCTCTGTTTGATCCAGGTTCTCTGCATGGTGAATCACCCCAGAAGGAGGGTGTGAAAGGTGCCTGGCCACAGGGAAGCTTATAGCTTCAGGGAATGAACTCTTAGGAGCAATGGTAAGCAGACCTGTCAGATTGAGGATTTGATTTATTTGTATTATTGGCACTTGTATTGATTTTTCTGGGGAGTTTGGGGATTTGAATGTATTTTGCAAATACAAACATTTTCTTTGTCATGTCACTGATGTGGTTTATAGGCTTATGTTGCATTTTTTCTTTGAATAGTAGAATCTTGCATGAAATTAAAAGCAGTATCCTCCACTTCTGACTTGGTAGGGCTTTAAGCATCATGCTAACTTTTCCCCTCCATCTCCCTTTCATTTCTTAGATCCACCTAGGACTGTGAAATAGGTTGGTAACATCTGTGGGCTAGGACGGTTTCAGCCAGCTAAATTCCCTGTTACACAGTTTAGATTTATGAGGCACATCTAAATTTACTGGAATTCTAGGTAGGAAGTGTGGTTGCAAAGGCAAAACTCTTTGTGATTGTAGCTTGTATGAAAATAGAAGCAGCTTGAATTTTTTTCTCACAAACTTTATCCAAAACATGTCTTTACATCTTTTATTTCTGGTAAATGGATTTTGGGGTGGCATCCCCACTACTGTTGGGATGAAGGGATATAACAAGCTAGAGGGTGATTTCACAGAATCCTGAGCCTTTGAAAAATGCTGTTGCTTTTGAAAAGTAATAAATATAGAAGCCAGGCCACCTTTTTCAGATTTATACCCTCTTCCCATTCTATTCTCAGCTAGTAAATACTATGGCCTCAGTTTGCCTAAAAAGATAATGGCTTAAGTTTATTTAAATGTCAGCAGTAGTTTGGTAATGAATTAAGTCCTTTGATGATGATGATGACGACGATGAAGATGATGATAATGTTGATGATGATGGAGGACACTCAGTAGCAGTGGACTGAGTTGTGGACTAGTTCTTTCTAAGGCTCCCAGGAAGAAAATTGCTAACTCACTTAATATGTGAAGGCCTTAGTGTCAGGTAGAGGAGGAAGCAGCTGTGGAGTGTAAAGAAATCATCTGCCCAAAGGTACACTTTAGAGAAAGACTTTGGATGAAGTTGTGTGTTTTCTTTTTGGAATAGGGTGTATTGCTTCTTTTGAGAAGGCCTTTTACAATAGTACAATAGTTCCTCTGGAACTCATAGCAGGATTCTTTTTCCACCCTCTTCTATATTTACAGCTGCTTTTCCCCTAGGGGAGCATTCATCTGTTTTAAAAAGCAGGGAGAGAAAACAAGTTCTGTCAAACAGTGAGGTTTGGAAATCAGAACTGTACTTACTTGCCTTTCAGGAGGACATATTCTAAAGAGTTGTTTTTTGGGTGGAAGAGAAGGAAGTCATCTCCTCTGCCCCCACTCCACCCAAGGCACACCACACACACACACACACACACACACACACACACACACACACACACACATTTTCACCTCCACCCAGAGGTTCCTTGTGGCAGATGTGAAGGAGTTTAGAACACAGGGTTCCCATTATAACCCCTTTGTTGTACGAGACCAAACGTGGCTTTTCAGCCCTAGAGTAAATCTTTTTCTGGCAGGCCACTTTCTTGGCCTTTATATCCATGTCTAGGGCCCTGGGCTGGCATTGGCCCTGAAGGCCAGGGCCAGCCTTTGGGGATTGCACTTGAGCATGTGGTCAGGGACAGCATCTGAGGGCATTTTGGACAGGAAAGATTTCTGATTATTAGGCTGTTTTCATCACACCTATGCTTCAGGGTCATAGAACTGAGGATTGCCAGGGACTGAGATGAATTTAGTAAGTTGGTTTAACCCCAGTGCCTCTTATTCTCTTTCTGCACAGTTTTTAGTCAGCTAGTGGGTGTGGACATGCATCTTTGTTTTACTATGAGAAGAGGAGGAATTGTGCCTTAGCAGTTGAATAACTGTGCCTTCTATTTAGATTCTGTAGAGGGTTACACTCAAAGCTAATGAGTGCTTTCTTCCACTCTGCACACACTCTTGCTGCCTGGAGTGGGCGGCAGGCTATAGAACCACAATAGAGCAAGTACTGTTGCTGTTGAAGGCATAGACGGAGGTGACAGTAAGGGCAGCTAGGCCCTGAAATTCCAGTGGCTCAGACCCCTGGCTGATGGCTTACCTCCTGAGGTGAGACCAAGAGGAAGGCCTTCAGCTTCCCTGAAATGAGTGCTTCTCACAGTTAAGGTAGTGTGACCAGCCAGGGGTAGGGACTGGCTTCCTGAGGAAGAGGGTGGGAGAGCCTTAATTAAGCCTGCCTGGTTTGGCAGTACCTCAGACTCGCCTCCTCTTTCTGTGTTGGCTGATAATTTCCTTCAGCTCTTAGAACAACTCTTCATTTCCTGGGGGAACCCATTGTTGCCAATATACACTCACAGAGCCTATCTCCGGTACTGCCATGTGTGCTTTCTGCCTCCTTTCCAGAAGAGGCAGGTAGCCAGTCTTTTTTTCTCATGAGCTGTTCCTACCTTGTTGGAGTTCCTGGAGGCTAGTGCTGCTGGACCTCCAGTCTGGCAGAGGCCTGGACGAGAGCTATTCCTTGGGTTCTCAGAACAGACCTAGCCTAGTGGAGAACAGTTCTGGGCCTGGCTCTGTGTCCAGAAGGGCTCAGTCAGTGGTCAGATTCTGATTGGGAGATATATGAGGAAACTTTGTTTGGTGAGAGTTAGGAGAATGGGGTTCTGGTTCAGCCATTCTCTCAAGAAGTCATGATCATTTGATAGGCCTCAGTTTTCCTCTCCTAAAATGGGTAGATTGGATTTTATAAGATGATCCCAAAGTTCCTTAAGGCAGTAATGTGTTAGGATTCCGTGACAAACCCGGGAGTCTGCCCCTGGTCTAGGTGACCAAAGTTAGCAAAGGCTGGGACAGCACAGATTGCAGTTCCCAGGTCTCTTTTGCCTCCCAGCTTTTTGATGTGTTTCTTCTCCTTGGAATGCCCCACCACTCCCTGTACCCACCTCTTTCTGCTCTGTCTGGCTAATACCTTCTAAAGCCAGGTATCAGCTTAGACTGCCGCTTGCCCCATACTTGTGTGGGTGCCTCTCCTTGGTGCTGGCATTACACCCTGTGCTCAGTACTTACCGCACCATATTACCGTCTGTTTCCTTGTTCTTCCTGACCTTACCTGAGCTTCTTGAGGGCAGAGACTGTCTGCTATCACCACTGTATCCCTCATTGCTGGTGCAGCGCCTGGGATGTGGTATATACACAGCAAATGTTGAAGGAATGAATGTCCCCCCCTAACCAGGGTCAGCATACCCCAGTGCGCTCTGGGAACTGTTCTCTGACCCTCTCCACCCTTACCCTGCCTAAGGCTCTCTCTTTCTGAGCTGTGTGTGGGTGCTGGAGAGCCTTGGATAATGCTGAGTTGTTTTTGAAGTGTGTCTCATTGTGGCAAAGCATTGGGTGATGTTGCCATCCCCACCCCCAGGACACTCTTGCAAGAATTGCTTCCACCAGGGATGGGCATTGACTTTGACCTGGTCCTCCTCATCTCCAGCCCTGGAGGAGGGGCAGGCAAGCACGTGCAGATTGCTGTCCTCTGACCAGCTGCCCAGGGCTGGGCCATCTGCTGCTTGTGACAGCGGGTGGGGTGAGAGGGGTGAGTGACCTGTGCAGGGGAGGGAGTGTGGGGCAGCAGCATAGTCACTTCAGTGCACTGACTGCATGACAGAGTCCAGCCCCCCTTCTCCCCACGTTCTATCTTCTTTTCCAGTGCTCAGTTATGCTATGCTTCATCCAGGTCTTGGTTTTGTTCCAGCTGCTGCCCCCCACCACTCTGCTAGGAGAACTCTTGCTGTGTTTTTGTTAACTCTGTGTGTGTGCTTTGCCCTTTTGCCTATGCCTCCAAGAATCTTTATGTTACATAAGACAGCAGCAGCAAAAAACAGAAACAAAAACAAAAAATGTTAGAAATGAAACTTTGGACCCTTGTTATTCTCTGTTCAGATGCAAATGATGAATCTCTTTCCATCAGAGTTTATACCTTTCTGTTTACCACCCCGTTTTCTGTCCCTCCTCCTGGAGAGCCTTTGAATGGCAGGGATGGGCTGAATCACTCACTTGGAAGGACTGTAATTTAGCTTGTGCTTCAAACCTTGCCTCTTTCTGGCCTTGTAAGGACCTAAGAAAGACGCAAAAAGGAAGTAATCTACCCCCATCACTCTTGGTGTGAGTTTGAAGGTTCTGAACTGGGGTGGGGTGGGGAGTGTGTGTGTGTGTGTGTGTGTGTGTGTGTGTGTGTAATTGTGTGTGTGTGGGATTGAAGGATGAGGGTTGTGGACAGTCTTAAAAGCCACCTTTACCAAATGAAGAGGTGACAAAGCAGGGACTGGAAGGGCAGCATACCCTAACCAGGACTTCCCCAAACTTTAACATGCATATGAATCACCTGGGGAACCTTACTAAAATGCAGATTCTGATTCAGTAGATCTGGGATGAAGGCTGAAATTCTTCATTTCTAACAAGCTCCCAGGTGCTGCCAGTGCTGCTGTTAATGGACCATACTTTGAATAGTAAGGCTGTGTCCTTCCTATTCCACCTTTTAATAGTTGATTTAAAAGACTGACCTAGGGAAGGCAAGACAGGGGCTAGTCAGGACTTGCGTAATTTAAACCCAAGGTCCTGGGCTGGCTTCTCAGCCAGTGTCTACAGAGCCTTTTAGGCGGGCCCCTCTTATCTAAGCTGCTGGCTTCTCTGAGCTCCTTTGGTCCAGTTTGGTTTCCAAGGTATAAGAACCACAGCCCTTCAGAGGGTGTGTGTGCTTACTCACAACAAGATTGGGTCCTTGCCCGTTTCTCTTTGGATCATTAGAAGTAGATAAGGCCAGGCCGGGTGCAGTGGCTCACGCCTGTAATCCCAGCACTTTGGGAGGCTGAGGCGGGTGGATCACAAGGTCAGGAGATTGAGGTCTCGATCCTGGCTAACACGGTGAAACCCCGTCTCTACTAAAAATACAAAAAATTAGCCAGGCGTTGTGGCGGGCACCTGTAGTCCCAGCTACTCGGGAGGCTGAGGCAGGAGAATGGCGTGAACCCGGGAGGCGGAGCTTGCAGTGAGCCGGGATCCAGCCTGGGCAACACAGCGAGACTCCGTCTCAAAAAAAAAAAAAAAAAAAAAAAAAAGAAATAAGGCCAAACCTAGCGTTTAAAACAGAAGTTTAGAGCTGAAAGAACTTTTACTCTTTTCCAGTTTATTTTACTGAGGGGGAAATGGGCCCAGAAAAGTTTTGTTACATGTCCAGAATCACAGCCAGGGGCAGAGCTGGGGTGAAAAACCAGATATCTTAATTCCCAAGCCCCTCTCTGAGGGAGTGTAAACCTGAGTTAGAGATGAGAGAATCACGGAGTTGGTCTGGGGACATGCTGGTTGGACAAAAAGGCTTTCCAGTGGTTTGGGGGAGTTTTGCACCACATGTACAACTAAGGTGGATCAACTGACATCTTGGCAGCCCATCCTTTGTTCACTTAGGCCAGGGCTTTCATCTGCAGCATCACTGATGTTGGATCAAGTGATTCTTTGTTGTATGGGGTTGTCCTGTGTGTTGTGGGATGTTTAGTTGACATGCCTTGCTCTATCCATTAGATACCAGTAGCACCTTACCCCCAAGGTGTGACAACCAAATATGCCTCTAGACATTGCCAAATGGGGGAGGTGGCACAAAATTGGTCCCAGTTAGAAAACCACTGGTTCAGGCAACTAGTATTTTGGGGAAGAGAGTCCCTCTGGGGCACCTACACTGTTTTTTTTTTTTTTTTTTTTTTTGCGGGGGGAAGTGTGCATTAGTCTCAGATTATAAAGGTAGCATGGGTACCAGCCTTCCTGGGAGTTTATTTACAGTTTAGTTTATAGTTTAGTGGGGGAGGGAGGAACCACGAAACTATTAACTATAGACTCCCGGGAAAGCTCCCACCTTAATGCCTCCTCCAGGATGTGTAGAGACCCAGGCTGGACTCTGAAGAATGGGGTCAAAGCCCAGGGTGCTTAATGAGGAAGAGATTTTGCTGTCCTGGGCTGGATTGCATAGCTAAGAACTGAGTAACTATCATTCACTTACTCCTTAAGAGAATTCTTCCATTCTGAAAAAAATTTATATATATATACACACACACATATAATATATAATATATATATTTGGAGACAAGATCTTACTCTGTTGCCCAGGTTGGAGTGCAGTAGCACAATCATAGCTTACTGTAACCTCGAACTCCTTGGCTCAAGTGATTTCTCCTGTCTCAGTCTCCCGAGTAGCCAGGACTACAGGTGCACACCACCACACCTGGCTGATTTTCTTTTTATTTTTTGTAGAGACAGGGTCTCACTCTGTTGCCCAGGTGGTTTCAAACTCCTCACCTTGAGTGATCCTTCTGCCTCAGCCTCCCAAAGCACTGGGATTACAGGCATGAGCCACTGCACCTGGTGTGAAAAATAAATTTTATCTGAATTTGTAGAGGGCAGTGAGACACATTAACCAACAAATATCTACACTTGAAGGGAGAGAGACCAGCTCAAGCCTGACATTGGTAGACTAACTCCTTATTTTTTATTTCTAACTTGATTTTATTCTGATATGGGATGAATCCTCTGATAGCTTTTCCTGTCTCTTTTCCAGTGTGTTAAGTGATTATTGCTGTAAGACTGGAATTACAGTCTGTAACGTTCTGAGGACATAGATATAAAACATGGGTAAATGCCCTTTTTAGATGTGAGCCTAAGAAAGGGTTTTTATCCTTTTTCAGTTTCAGAGGATACTGTACTTGCAAATGCTTTTAAGGCCACAGAGTTCTCACCCTTGTACTCAACACTAGGCCTTCCTAAATATTATTCCAGTGCACAAAAAGCATTAGTGATGGAATGGAGCCTCCATTGCCTCCTGGCTTGCATTATTCCTGACACTGAATCTGCTGTAATTCTTTGCTCCTCTGTCTGCCATGTGTCTAATTCCCTGCCCCATGGCTACTTTTAGGATTTTCTTTATCACTGTTTTTTTAACATTTCGATTATGATGTACCTTGTGTTTTCTTTTTGTGTTTCTTCTTCTTCTTGGGGTTTGATGAGCTTCTTGTATCTGTTTGTGCATAATTTTCATATAATTTGGAAAATTTGGGGCATTCTTTTCTCAATATTTTTTCTGTGCCTTGCTACCTCTCCCCAACCATTACTCCTGTTCTATTAGGCTGCTTGATATATCCTACAGTTCAGTGATGTTCTGTTCTTTTTTCAGTCTTTTTTCTCAGTGTATAATTTTGGATAATTTCTTTTGCAAATTTACTATTTTTTTCTTCTGCATTGTCTAATCTGCTGTTAATCCTATCCTGTGTACTTTTTATTTCAGGTATTGGTATTCTTCCCTCTAGAAGTTCAATTTGAATATTTGAATCTTTATTTTTTTTGAGACAGGGTCTCGCTCTGCCACCCAGGCTGGAGTGCAGTGCTGTGATCATAGCTCGTTGCAGCCTCAACCTCCTGGGCTCAAGCAGTCCTCCCACCTCAGTCTCCTGAGTAGCTGAGATTACAGGTGCATGCCACTACACCCAGATAATTTAAAAAAAATTTTTTTTTTTTTGTAGAGAGGAGGGGGGGTCTCCCTATGTTGCCCAGGCTGGTCTCGAACTCCTGGAATCAAGAGATCCTCCTGCCTTGGCCTCCCAAAGTGCTGGGGTTACAGGCACAAGCCACTGTGCCTAGCCACTTCAAATATTCTTTATGACTTTTCTCTCTTCATCATGCTCGTGCTTTGTTCTTCTTGAACACATGGAGTATATTTATAATAGAGATTTAACATCCTTGTCTACTAGTTCTGTCATCTGTCATTTCTTGATCTGTTTCTGTTGTTTGATTATTCTCCTAGTTTTGGCTCATATCTTCCTGGGCTTTATTTTGCATGCCTGTTAATTTTTTATTGAAAGCCAATCATAGTTCTACCTTGCTGGGTGCTGGAACTTTTTGTATTTTTTAAAATACTTTTGGGCTTTGTTCTCAGGAGCAGTTCAGTTACTTGGAATTGGTTTGATCCTTTCATGGCTTACTTTTAAGCTTTGTTAGGGTGAGTCCGGAATAGCTAACATAACTAAGCTGGTCCCACTTGGAGGCAAAAACCTTCTGAAGATTCCATCCAGTGCCCTGTGTATTAGAAGACTTTTCTGCCTTGGCTGGTGGGAGCATGTATTAGTCTGTTTTCACACTGCTGATGAAGACATACTCAAGACTGGGAAGAAAAAGAGGTTTGATTGGACTTACAGTTCCACATGGCTGGGGAGGCCTCAGAATCATGGCAGGAAGTGAAAGGCACTTCTTACATGGTGGCGGCAAGAGAAATGAGGAAGAAGCAAAAGTGGAAACCCCTGATAAACCCATCAGATCTTGTGAGACTTATTCACTATCATGAGAATAGCATGGGAAAGACCAGCACCCGTGATTCAATTACCCCGCCCCCCGCCCCCCTGCTGGGTCCCTCCCACAACACGAGAGAATTCTGGGCGATACAATTCAAGGTGAGATTTGGTTGGGGACACAGCCAAACCATATCAGAGCATGAACTATTTCTGACTCTGAGTGAGTTCTAGGGGTTGTGCCACCCACTTCTTTCTGATCATTATTTTCCCACCCTTGCTAGTTTCCTCAGAGGCATGCACAGATCAGTACTCAGCCCAAAACTCAAAGGGGTCCCTCTGCAGATGTTTGGTGGTTTTGCTCTTTGCAGCTCTCTCCTTTTCAATTAATTTGCCCTGCAAATTCTAGCCACTTGGGCCTCTCCAAATTTCCAACTCTGTTTTTTCAACTGAGTGACATTGCTGAACTCTTTCAGGTTTCTCTGCCCTACCCTATGGTCTGGAAACTCTCAAGGGAGTTAAGTGGGGCAGTAGTAGGGCTCACTGCGTTTTTTCCCCCATTTCTCAAGGATTACTGCCCTGTGCTGCCTGTTGTCCAATGTCTGAAAACCGTTATTTTATCTGGTTTTTCAGTTGTTTAGGGAAGGAGAATAAGTTGAGTCCCCATTATTCCACCATGACTAGAGGTAGATATTCCTCAGCTGTCCCTCAAATCAGGTATTAACCTTGGATGTCTTTTCCTTCTGTGTTCACTTATTGAAACATGGATCATTTAGACAAATCTTATGGTAATTCAGCCAGATTCACATCATGTCAGTTTGCCAAATATTTATCTGGCACCTGCTATGTCCAAAAGAATAGTATAGCCAGTATCTTGCTGAACGTGGTATAATCTGTAACTTTACCCATATTCTAATGCTGCACCTTCTAGCAGAAGATTCTGTGCATCCTGACATGCATGTGACACAAATACACTTTGAGTCTTCTTCCTGTACCTCCTGATCATGGTCCCATTAAACCTGGGCAAACAACTGAACTAACTAGTCAGAATTGGTGAGCAAACAGCAGGTGCTTGGCTGTCTGCCTATTCATGAGTCAGGCCCAGACAGCCGTGTGTGGGGAGGGAAGAGAGCATTAAGTCTCTGTGTGTGGGTGAGCACCTCCATTTTACCTGGCCTTATTCTGTGCCAGATACTATATTCAATTTCAAAAATGTGTGACTCATTGACTCTGTAATTCCATGAAGTATAGGTCTGTTACCTCAATTTTATATGTGACAAACAGAGGCTCACAACAGTAAAGCAGCATACCTAGGCCCTGTGAGAAGCTAGAGGTAGAGTCAGGATTTGAATTCCCTTTTGTGTGACTCCAGAGACTATGTACTATTCACTAGACTACATTGATTGACCCTGTAATTTTCTCTGTCACTTCCCTCTTCTGGACTCCAGCTTATCTTCCTGTTTTATCTTTGACACGTTGGCTGTATATCTCCCATGACTTTTCACTTTGTACCTCATGTTGTAATTATTTGTGTTTGTGTCTTATATATATACACAATATACAGTAGACCGTAAACTCTTAAGGGCGTATGCTTCCTTTACCTCTCAAGGAATCTCGTACATGTAGGTGCCCAATGTATGTGTTGAATAGTCACTGAGTTCCTTAAGAAAGAAGCATGTTAGGAATGAGTTCATAAGCCCTGTCTGGAGGGAAATATCAAATTCTCTCATTAATTTATGATGTTTCTTCTTCATCTTCTCTGTGTTTATCATAATCCCTTTTAACATATTCCAGAATGTTGCCTGAATTAATTAATTAATTATGGCTGGGCACGGTGGCTCACACCTGTAATCCCAGCACTTTGGTAGGCTGAGGCTGGCGGATCACGAGGTCAAGAGATCGAGACCATCCTGGCCAACATGGTGAAACCCTGTCTCTTCTAGAAATAGAAAAATTAGCTGGGCTTGGGGGCGTGTGCCTGTAGTCCCAGCTACTCGGGAGGCTGAGGCAGGAGAATCGCTTGAAGCAGGAAGTTGCAGTGAGCCAAGATTATGCCACTGCACTCCAGCCTTGCGACAGAGTGAGACTCCGTCTCAAAAAAAAAAAAAATTAATTATTTCTCAGGACGTGTCCTCATCTGATTTGCCTGGATTTTATAAAGTTATTCATTTGGTGCCTTTGTCTGAACTTTGCCTAATTTGGATTACTTTTGGAATCTCTATTTGGACGTTTGAAGGACTCTCCTTTATGTTAATTAGTTTAAGCAAACTCCTTGATTCCTGATTTAGGGCCCCACATGCAGGGAACTGGAAGTATGACTGGAGCTAGAACTAGAACATATAGACCTTGGCAGAGGGACTTTGTACAATTAGAAGGTGAGGTAAGGGTATAGGTGGCGGCAGGGGCATGGGGCTAATCAAAGGGAAGGAACAGTGGGCAAGTTCCTACTTCTCATTTTTGCTTGTACCTCACAGTCCCACCTTGACAGCTTACAGGAAGCTTGGGTAATTTATGATGAAGAGGACAGGAGGAATCATGGTTTGGTTATAAATTAGGAGGCTTCCTGGAAGTTACACAAGATGGAGAATATTTGGAGCCAGAAGACAGGATCTTGTTTGGCTTGAGTGTGCACCTCATTGGGGCTGTTAAGCTTCATTAGATGGAGGTGAAGACATGTCCCTGGAATCCTAAACCTGAAACTCAGGGGAAAATACTCAGGTTAGTTTCTGACTAGAAAGGAGGGAAATGGCAGAAACTGGGACCATATGTATGGAGAACCTTAAGGCCTCAGATGTATTAGGGAAGGTCACCTCTTTGGCCCTGCCACTAGGCTATTTTTTTTCCATTCATGAATCCTATAGAAGAGGTAACAATTTCAGGGGAGGGGATGATGGGGTAGAGAGACTTTGTTGTTGTTGAACACTAAGGAAGCAGGAAACTTTAAGCTGTATCCCCAACTTTTACCTAGCTTTTGCTAAACACAGAGTGTGGAAGTGTTAGTTCAGAGAGACTTTCCATGGAAGAGGTGGAGGGTGTCTCTGAGCTATCTGGACCATTTAGGAAGCCTTAACTCAAATCATTGGGTTAATTGAGAAGGTATACCTTATAAGACACAAACCCCCTCTAGTTATCATCCAGTCTTTCTTCTCCCTTCTTTTTCACTCCCTTCCCCAAATAGTTTTGCCCTTATTACGTCCACTTTCTCACTTTTTTTTTTTTTTGAGACAGCATCTCGCTCTGTCACCCAGGCTGGAGTGCAATGGCGCGATCTCAGCTCACTGTAACCTCCGCCTCCCTGCTTCAAGCGATTCTCCTGCCTCAGCCTTCCAAGTAGCTGGGACTACAGGTGTGCACCACCACGCCTGGATAATTTTTGTATTTTTAGTAGAGATGGGGTTTCACCGTGTTGGCCAGGTTAGTCTGGAGCTCCTGACCTCAGGTGATCCGCCCGCCTTGGCCTCCCAAAGTGCTGGGATTACAAGCGTGAGCCACTGCGCCTGGCCTCCCACTTTTAATTCATGTTAAATTTGATATAATCTGCCTTCACCACTCCGATAAAACTGTTCTTGATTAGGTCACCAGTGATTTCCTAGTGGCCAGATCCAGTGGGCCTTTTTCAGTCTTCGTCTTTCTGGGCCTTTGCTGTATCTGCCACTTCTCATGTTTTCCTTGAGTCTCTCTGTCTCTCTCTTGACATCTGTGTTGCACATGCCCCTGGTTTCCATGTACCTTTTGGAGTATCTCTCATAGGCTTTCCTTCCTCAGTATGCCCATTATAAGTTAGCATTCTCCCTAGGATTCTGTCCTTAACTTTCTTCTCAACCTGTCCTCTTTCCTAGGTGAGCTCATCTATTTTGCATGGTTTCAACTGTCACTTACAGGTTGATCACTCCAGGGCTACATCACTCCAGGGCTACATCCCAAGCTCAGAGTGCTCTATAGGGTTTCACATTCATTTCTAATTTGCCTGCTAGACCTTTCTACCAGTTATCCCTCAGGTACCCCAGCTCAACATATTAAAGAATAATCTGAATGAAATTCATTATGTTCCCTGACCAAACCTGCTTATTCACCTGTATTCTTTTTCTCCTGTGGTAGCTTCTACCATTTATGCAGTTACTTAGGCCAAAAACTTAGGCTTTTTTTTTTCCATCTTTTTTTTTTTTTTTTTTTGAGACAGGGTATCACTCTGTCGCCCAGGCTGGAGTGCAGCGGTGCAATCTTGGCTCACTGCAAGCTCTGCTTCCCAGGTTCACACCATTCTCCTGCCTCAGCCTCCCTAGTAGCTGGGACTACAGGCACCCGCCACCATGCCCGGCTAATTTTTTGTATTTTTAGTAGAGACGGGGTTTCACCATGTTAGCCAGGATGGTCTCGAACTCCTGACCTCGTGATCCGCCCGCCTTGGCTTCCCAAAGTGCTCGGATTACAGGCATGAGCCACAGTGCCCAGCCCCAGGCATCATCCTTTATTGTTCTCACTCACCTCATCCTATTAGTTTTTGATATATTCTATAGCATTTGGCACATCACAGGCACTGAATGAATGAATGGATGGATGGATGAAAATGTTTGTTTATTTCATCCAAATTTAATTACAATTAAGTACCTTGGCCTTGGTGAAGCTGAATGCTCCTGGTTACACTAACTTTTGGGAAGGTCATTTGATTTTTGGCCACACTGAAATTATATCAGGAAGACTCTTTTGAAAGATAAATACTTTGTTGGAAGGATTAGTCATTATTAGAAAGGGGTGGATTGGTCACTCTGCTATCTTTTAGGGCTCTCTAAGGAACTGCTGAGAAGTTTGTTTATACAGTTAGAGGTGAGGTGGGTGAAGTCAAATTGTGCTGGCTGGTGGAGTGGGGGTGGGGTTGTCCATGGTGCTCATGGGAGTACAGATAGTGTGTTGGTGAACTTGCCACAATGCTACGGATTTAATGCAAGAAATAGGCAAAGCTTTTCTGCTGGGGGAAGTAATATGCCCCATTTCACTCACTAATGGATGTCCTAATTGTATGCTAGTATTTCTAACATAAAGGCTGAGGATGTGTATTTAACCGTTTTGCCAAGTTTATCTCCCTTTTCTTGCTGTCCAACCCCCTGGAAAAAAAAAAAAGGAAAAAAGGAGAAAGTGACTTAAAGAATCAGGATTTGGGCTGGGTACAGTGGCTCACGCCTGTAATCCCAGCACTTCGGGAGGCCAAGGCAGGCAGATCACATGAGACCAGAAGTTTGAGACCAGCCTGGCCAACATGGTGAAACCCTGTCTCTACTGAAAATACAAAAATTAGTCGGGCTTGGTGGCGCACACCTGTACTTCTAGCTAATCGGGTGGCTGAGGCGTGAGAATCACTTGAACCCGAGAGGCAGAGGTTGCCGTGAGCCGAGATTGCGCCACTGCACCCCAGCCTGAGCGACAGAGCATCTCAGGAAAAAAAAAATAAAGAATCAGGATATCAGGATTTGGAACCAGAGAAGCTCTTCAAGTAGAGATCGTCTGGTCCAGCCCTGCATTTTCAGATGATGATGACAATAATAATGATAGATGGTGATGAATATAATAGTAACTACTATTTTTGATGACTTACTAAGTCACAGGCACTATGCTATGTACTTTATATATATTTCCCCATATAATACTTAAAATATCCCTGTGAGATAGGCATTATTAAGTACCATTTTATAGAAAGGAAATAGAGGTCCGGAAAGCTTGGATAACTACATTGAGGTAAAGAGAATGCTGAAGTAGCTATCACGCAGAGAGATGAAGCAGCCTCCTTGTTCAAGGTCAAGTTTTCCAGTTAAAGGAGAAACACAAGTAGAATCCAAGTCTCTTGACCTTGAGCTCAGTTGAGCACCTATTTTTTGTTTTGACCTGAGAACTCACTTTCTCTGGTCATTTTTGTCTTATTTCTCACTATCCTTTTAATTTCAGTAAAATTGAATGAAATAGAGGGAAGGATGGTTTAGAGTTGGGGTTTTTGGTGAGTTTTTAAAGTTTATTTTTAAATAGGCAGCTTTCCCAGACTGACTGGGAATGTAGCAGAAGGCCTGAGAACCAGGAAGTGACACAGACCTGTTTATACCATCCCACTCCCAGGCCTTTGGAAAACGATCCACAGAGATGGTAAAAAGTAAACATAACTGCATCAGCCAGCTCTCTAGGGTTTGCTATTTTTGACCTGGAGGAGGTGTTTCCTGCATAGCTGTAAGTACTCGGAATACCAAAATTTAGCTCCTAAACATTCTTTGAGTGAAGGTATATAGACAGACAGACATTTTTTGTTACCAGACAGCAGCATTCAGTGACTGTAGGCAGACAAAATTAAGTTTTTTTTCCCTCCTCTCTCTGCCATCCTTTTGGTGAGTTGTTCTTCCATTTCTTTATCTTTCTTTGTAAGTAGCACTGTGCATGCAAAACACTGTCCTGGGAGCTCTAAATTTGTGCATGGGTTCAAGGTCCAACTCAAAGCTTT
Source organism: Homo sapiens (assembly GCF_000001405.40). Classification (NCBI taxonomy): domain Eukaryota; kingdom Metazoa; phylum Chordata; class Mammalia; order Primates; family Hominidae; genus Homo; species Homo sapiens. The sequence continues at coordinate 69,649,025 of NC_000014.9, forward strand.
CTCTTTCACTTCTCCCTACTCCCATCAGAAGTCTTTGTTCCTGTGTCCTCTGTGTTCTCATAGCACTTTTTAAAAAACCTTCTTTGGGGCCCTAGTAACAATTTGACAGTGTTATATAGATAAACATAATTCCTCTCACGTAAGTTGTGAATTCCTTGAGAGTAAGAATTGAACTGTGCCCCAATTCATCTCTATGATCACCCAAGCCTTGCATAGAAGACAGCCAGTAAATATTAGCTGAATTGCAGTATAGTCATTGGAGACACAGAGCCCTAAGAAGTCAGCTTTAGCAAATCGGCTTCCCGGACTTTATTTGCCAACTGGGTATTGAAGCCTGTTCCACTCAGCCCTGATGGGAACCAAGCAGAGAGATGTGATGACACATGAGATATATCTCTAGGGTCTAGGAACCAATTACAGTCGCCTCTGCCAAGCATCTGTTTTGCTACCTGGCCAAAATTTCAGGATTTATATAATCTTTTCCCTCTTGTTTTATACATGCTGTTATTTTGCCATTTTGTATTTTTCTATACAAATTATATCTTGTGAGTTTATCTTTTTTTCTCATTCACTCGAGAAGTATTGTTGAGCACTTGGGGGCAGAGAATTGGTGGTCTCTGCAGGAGTTTATTACCTGCGGAAATGCAGCATACAAAAGTTAAATAACTGTGAGTGGCCTTCGGGGAGGGATATGATTGACTGTCCTATTCCTGGTCCAGGCAGGGATGCTGAGGGTTTGGAAGAGCCTTCCATGCCTTTGGGCTGAACTGAGAAATTCTCCCCAAACTAAGATGGGAACTAAGCTTGACCTTTTATTTGGAAAACAAAAGAGCAGGGAGCCCTATTAGGGAAGCAGGAGGAGGAAAGACTTCCAGGCCTCTTGAATTCCATTTATCTGTAAAATGGGGCTAATTCCACCTATTTAATGAGGTAATGAGTGTGTGTATGTGTATATTCCCTTAGTCTGCCAGAAACTAATATTATTTTAGGATAGTCACAAACAATAGCTGTTTAATTTGGAGGGGAGGTAGTGCTAAGTGCTTTAAAAAATTTTTAGAATTTGATGGGAAAGAATGTGGGAGGCTCACTTGTTTAACCTGTTGGCTGTTCTCTTGTCTAAACTAACATTGTGTTTTGAGCCTAGTCTCAGGCAGTGTTTCCAAACCAGCTGAAACAGTGCCCTTTGGGGAGTCTAGTGGGGGTCAGTCACGGCCTGTTAGAACAGGAAGGGGCTTAGCCAGCATGAATTTGAGCACCCACTGTTTCATACATCGTCCTACATGTCTCACGTTTGTCTTAATTTCACTGCACAGCAACCCAATGAGGTGGGTATCATTTATCCAGTTTACAGACGGCGACTGTACCTAGACCACCCAATTGCCCTAGACCACCCAATTGATAGTATCTGCCATAATTTTTCCATGATACTGGCCTCCCTGAGAGATACATAGTTCAAGTGTTCTGTTTTACTGATGAGAAAACAGGCATGGAAGCAAAGTGCTTGTCCAAGGTTGGCCCCTCAGTCATGTTGAAGCTGGGTTTGGAGAAGGGGTTTCCTACCTTCAGGTCAGGAACTTACGACAGGCTTTGTTCCTGCTCACAGGCACTTTGCCTCCTCCCCCCTCTTTTTCTGTCTGGTCTTATTTGTTCTCTCTTGCCTTCTCTCTTGCATCTTTTCTCCCTTTCTCCCTGGGCCCCTGTATCTCTGCAGTGTGCAGAGGCTGGGTTTTGTTGTTGTTGTTGTTGTTGTTAAGATGTGTTATTTTTTGAAAGCATTTTAGGAACACTGTGTACGGATAGTCCATACAAATGTGCTGATGGATTGATTAAACCCTAAAGGGAAAGTGGACTGTCCTGGGTTTGCTGCAATGCAGAGGGATATGGATGGTAGGGATCCGTCTTGGGAAGATGTAGGGGAATGTGCTGCTCAGTCAGAACAATGAGGATAGAGTTAATGTTGCTTCCTTCCAGTCAGAGCCTGTGTTGACTTACTTTTTAGAGGAAATACTTTTGGGCCCCTCCTATTCCCTAGAAGACATTCCAGTTTTCTTACAGCTGAAAGGTCCTTTGGGGATCATCCAGGTTCACCCCTGAGACAGAAAGACTCACTGACTTGCCTGAGGCCAAACCGCTTTTCAGTGGCTAGGACCTAGGCTGTCCCTCCTGTCCTGTGATCAGGTCCCTGCTGCAGTCATCCTGCTGTTAGGTGCTAGAGACTTGTTAAAGAGAAGACTTAGGTGGGGTGGTAGTGTGTCTGCTGGCTTTCCTGTTGTCTGAAGTTGGGGAAAGCGTGTTGCCCAGATGATGTGAGCAATTCTGGGGGTGGAAGACAAGGGCGCAGGGAATATCAAAGCAATTCAAAAAAACCTCTGACACTGTGTAATGGCTTAGGTGGCTTAAGAGGAAAGCTGAGGGTAATGTTTGTGATTTGGAGGCTGTGTGATTTTAACAGGAGTTTGATGTTTGCCTTTTCAAGTAGGAGCTGGAGATTAAAGGAAATGGATAAGTTAATATTCTGGCCTGAAAGGATGTCAGAGTCCGGTAAAATATGTGGCTGTCGAAGCACTCAAGTGTTAGTGGCAAAAAGGAAAGGGGAAGATATAGAAGTTAGTAGGACTGGAAGAATCCATTGATCCACAATGGGAGAAGATAGAAGGCATCTATAAATAACTGAATTTTGGGGGGTAGGAGGCATTAAGGTCCAATAAGTGTTTAGATATGTTTTGATACTGTAGCCTGGCCATTTCAGGGTGAGTAGGAGTACAGAGGGGAGATGTTGCAGGGAAGAAAGAGAGGTTAAGGAAGGGCCTGGGCAGCTTTGGCTGTATTAGTCATTTCTCTTACTTATCACACCCCTCTGGGGAACTTTGGACTTCAAAGTGTTAGGACTTGTTATCATTACAACCTGAAATGTAATTAGCGGGTTAATTTCTGTTCATGTTTCTGGAACTGTTCTTTGTCCTTTCTCATCATGTGGCAGGATCAAGGTTGGTGAACATAGTTAATTAAAGGAATAAACTCTGTTGTTCTGGACTCTCACCACTACTACCATTATCCTCTGTCTAGATTAGTCTGAGGCAAGAAAAGGATTTATGTTGGTTTTATCATCCCAGTTCCCTCTCTTAACTAATGGACAGAGGAGCCATGGTTTAGGAAAAAATTTGTTCTAAAAATTACATGTAGAGGTCGAGACAGGCAGATCACTTGAGGTCAGGAGTTAGAGACCAGCTTGATTGACATGGCAAAACCCTGTCTCTACTAAAAATACAAAAATTAGCCAGTCATGGTGGCGTGCGCCTGTAGTCCCAGCTACTCAGGAGGCTGAGGCACGAGAATCACTTGAAGCCAGGAGGCAAAGGCTGCCGTGACCCAAGATTGTGCCACTCCCACTGCACTCCAGCCTGGGCAACAGAGTGAGACTCTGTCTCGGAAAAAATAAATAAATAAATAAATAAAAATAAAAATTACATGTAAACGGAGTCTGACTTTACCCACGCAGCACCTGGGAGCCACGCTTGACTGAATCAGACCCCTCTTGCCTTTAGGAGAAGTGTTTGATAGTGTTTGATAGTGTGAGATGACCTTGCACCTTCAGCAGGACTATGGCATTCTCAGCAGGGGTGGGCCCCAGGCACGTGGACTGAGGAGATCTGGGCCCTGGCTGTTTCCTGGCTGGCCCTAGCTGCTGCTGCTGTTGCCTCCCAAGGCCAGAGCCATTTTTGAAGGTGACTCCAGGGCACCTTTAAACTTATTAGCAGGCTCTTGGGTTAACTTGGAAGCATCTGTGGCAACAACAAGCAAGTAAACCATGTGAACTTTGGGCTTGTGTTGCAGGCCCTTACCAGAAGCCCACCGTGCGTGTCATCATTTCTCAGCCCTCTGCTGTCTTGGCTTCTGGCTAAGACAATAAACATAAGCCCCAGGTGTTTCTAGTTTACAAAGCATTTCCTCATATTTTGTTCCTTTTGAGCCTCAACAGAGTCTACGGAGATAGTCAAAGCAAGTAACAGCCCCATTTTACAAATGAGGAAACAGGGGCAGAGATGAAGTAAGTGACTTCCTCAAGGTCAGAGCTGTGGCTTGAGGGCAGTTTTCTTCCTCATTGGAGGAACTTACGGACAGGAAGTGAGTGTCCACGACATCACATTCAGTAGGGCAGTCACCCAGCTGTTGATATTCTAGGTTTACAGAGGTGGGAGAGGCTGCCCTTTTGGGGCTGACGGTCGAGCTGAGGCCTCCTGCTACCACCAGGTGTTGGGGCAGCAGCACTAGTTCCCAAGAAATAAAATCAGAACGGTGACTCTCCTTACCTGTGTTTTGAAGAGGAAAGCCGGCTATTGGGGTAAGAGATGGATTACAGCAAGAGAAGGGTAGAAGCGGTGAAGAATTCTGTGGCCTTAGAGCCTTTTTCAGATGTGGAAACAGAAGGCAGAGAGCCTTCATGACCAGCTCCCTGGCTGGTGGCGGAGGTGGGACTGAGTCATTGAGGCCCTCTCCTCTGTCTCAGCTCTAAGTTCAGATGTGATATTCCTTGTGAGGATGGCCGAGTGCTAGTTTTGAACTTGATGCTTAGTTCTAGGTTCCTCTTCAGTGATAATTTTTTTTAATTAGGAGGAGTAGTCACTAACATGCCAAAGGAATACTGAAGTGAAATGGATTCTTTTTGTTTAAACAAAGTTTTAGCCTCAGTATTTCTCTAGGGATAATGAATACCTAGTGAAACTTTTTTTTTTTTTTTTTTTTGCTTGGTGTACTAAAGCCACAATCCAAGGACAAGTCTTGTTTTTTTAAATTCTATATTCAAGGCAGATTATTTCTTAAAATGATTAGATTTATACTGTGGCCCTTTCTCCACAGTAGCTGGGTTCTCCCATTCTGGGCAATACTTTGGAGATTTAGGGGTTAGCTTTCCTCTGTTTTATTTCTGAAGCAGTAACCCTTGGCCTAGCCTTACATATAAACACCCCACTGACTACCTTCTATTTATCTTTTCTTTGCAAAGCCCTCATTTCCATCACCCCGTCTGTTCTGCACCTGTCCCGTCTTAGGCTTCAGGATGGAATTGGTTCCTCGACTCAGGTAGCTGCTTAAGCAGTAAGGGAGGAGCCAGCTATTCCTGCAAAGCAAAACCAAAAACAAACAAAAAACCTAAAACTGATCAGGAACTCATACATGTACATCTTGTCTGCTCCATTTCCATACCGGCTCCTCCCCACAGTATTCATGATTTTGGCAGACCTTTGCTACCTGCCTGTCAGATGCCAGGCCTTGTGCTGGCTATTGAAGATTCCGAGTTGAGTAATTCACTGTCCCTGCCTTCAAGGAAGTCTCAGCCTGGTGTGGTGAGACAGATAAACAAATAGATACAATAACCTGTTAAAGGTACAGTCATAGCAGGGTAAGAAGGGGTCATTTCTACGTTGGAGGTGGGTGTGGTGTGAAGTGTCAGGAAAGAATTCCTCTAGATGACCCTTGTGCTGAGCCCCTAAAATGACTCTATTCCTGGTAGAGGGAGCAATTAGGTTTTTGGGATTTGTTTTAATGGCAGTTTGTTGAGAGAGGAGACAAGTGGTCTATAGGAAGGCCTTGCTACATTAACTTAACATTTTGTTTGAATAGATAATACATGTACAAAGTACAACACTCAATATAGTAAAAGGGAATATATGCAGTTAAAAATTTTTTTTCTCCTTCCCCGTTAACCACTCAGTTCCCCTCCCTGAAGGCGACCATTAGTTACCAATTTCTTTTTTTTTTTTTTTTTTGGTGTGTGTGTGTGTGTGTGTGTGAAACAGAGTCTCATTCTGTCACCCAGGCTGGAGTGCAGTGGCACAATATCGGCTCACCACAACCTCCGCCTCCTGGGTTCAAGCGATTCTCCTGCCTCAGCCTCCTGAGTAGCTGGGATTACAGGTGCCCGCCACCACACCTGGCTAATTTTTGTATATCTAGTAGAGACGGGGTTTCACCGTTTTGGCCAGGCTGGCCTTGAACTCCTCACCTTGTGATCCACCCGCCTCGGCCTCCCAAAGTGCTGGGATTATAGGCATGAGCCACTGTGCCCGGCAGTTACCAATTTCTTATGCTTTATTCCAGGTGAGTTTTTCCGTGCTTATAGGGGTGTGTGTGTGTGTCTGTCTTTCAAAAATACATGCATATACCCAGGTTATTTTTTTCACATACTAATTTTAGAAGTCATTCCATATTAGCACAGGTTGAATTGCCCTGTTCTTTTTAAACCTCTGTACGGTATTCCATTATATTGGGTGTACTATAACTTATTTAAGTATACTCCCCTTTCATGAACTTTTAGGTTACTTCAGTCTTTTGCCTTTACAAACAATACATGAATATCTTTCATATATGTCATTGCACATGTGATTTCTTAGGGCACATTCTAGAACTGATAAGTCAGAGTATATGTGCATTTTTTTGGAATAGTTATTAACAAGTTGCTCTCCGAAGGATTCTATATTGATTATAAAATGCTAGCCAGGCAGAGTGGCTCATCCCTCTAATTTCAGCCCTTTGGGAGGCTGAGTTAGGAGTATCACTTGAGGCCAGAAGTTTGAGAGCAGCCTGGGCGACATAGTGAGACATCCTCTCTCTTTAAAAGAAAAAAAAAAAAAGTTAGGTGTGGTGGCGTGCTCCTATAGTCCCAGCTGCTTGGGATGCTGAAGCAGAAGGATTGCTTGAGCCCAGAGGTTCAGGTGAGCTGTGCTCACACCACTGCATTCCAGCCTGGATGACAGAGTGAGACCCTGTCTTTTAAAAAACAACCAAAAAACGCCAAAAAACTAAATTTAAGATTCTTTACCATTTGGCCGGCCCCACTGCTCTTCCCTTGCCTGTCCCCTCACACCCCACCAAAATCCTCTAAAATCCCTGCCAGTATGATCTTCCTAAATGAGTTTAGTCTTATAATTTCCCTGTTTAGAATCCTTGTAAGGGTAAAGTTTAAACCCCTCTGCTTAGCCCCTGCCTCCAGCCTCTGCCAGGAGTAATGTGCTCCCATAGTACTCTGATCCACTTGTATTTGGTGCTTCCTTTTTTTTTTCTTTTCCTTCCTTCCTCCTTTCCTTTCCCTTCCTCTTCCTCTTCCTCCATTCTTCCCTCCCTCCGTCTTCCTCCATTCTTCCCTCCCTCCCTATTCCTCCATTCTTCCCTCCCTCCCTCCCTCTCACATCCTTTAGGACTCAGCATCACCTCCTCTAGGCAGTCTTTCCTGACTACCACCACTTATGCACAAAACACCTAAGCACTACCTTATGTGGCCTCATTTATTCACTGCTTAAATATTTTTTATACACGTGCTGTGATGTGGCACATGCAGGTGTCATTCTTGATGATCCACTGGTTATTGCCTTGAGGGGATGACAACTGCCCGGTAGGGTTACCTGGTGTGACTGCACCTAAAACAGCAATACCAAAGGGCCCATTGCCAGTTCTGTCACTGACCAGCTGGGGCCTCTGAGTATATCCCTTAACCACTTTGGACCTTAATTTGGCATCTGTCAAATGAGATGGTGGAACTTGAGGAACTCTAAGGCCCCTACTGTGCAGGTCTTATTAATGATTACAACAGCAGCAGCAGCCAGTGTTTACTGAGGACTTACAAAGCACCAAGCACTTTGCCAGGCACTTTGTCTATCCTAATCCTTACATCAACTCTACGAAGTTAGTATGGTTACTATCCCTATTTTACAGATGAGGAGACTAAGGCTAAGAGAGGTTATATGACTTGACCACAAGGTCATAATAAAGAAACAGATTTGAATCCAGGCATTCTGACTTTACTGTTCTTAGCCACATAAATGGGCACACATTCGACACACAGTTTTGTGTACTGTTTGGTGGTCACTCACAGACTCCATCCCAGACCTCTGCATGAACCATCCCTGTTCTACAGTTTTAAAGGCTCAAACTGGAGTCTGGGTGAAACCTGGGGACAGAAGACTGCTATAGTCACAATTATTAGAGGGAAATGGGTGAGGACCAGTGGCCAGCTCTGTTCATGAACCTTTGACAATTCTCACAGAGAGTCTTGCTTTGGACAGAGACAACTTACGTTGCTGTTTTCAGTTACCCTCTTTAGGAGGGGAGAGTAGGCCTGAGTCATGCTTCAGACACAGATTAAAATCAGATTTGGTACCAGGTGCAGTGGTTCACGCCTGTAATCCCAGCACTTTGGGAGGCTGAGATGGCGGATCACTTGAGGTCAGGAGTTTGAGACCAGCCTGGCCAACATGGTGAAACCCCATCTCTACTAAAAATACAAAAATTAGCTGGGTGTGGTGGCGGGCACCTGTAATTCCAGCTGCTTGGGAGGCTGAGGCAGGAGAATCACTTCAACCCGGGAGGTGGAGGTTGCAGTGAGCCAAGATTGTGCCATTGCACTCTAGCCTGGGCAACAGAGCAAGACTGTGTCTCAAAAAAAAAACAAAATCAGATCTGGGTAGTATCCCTGGCAGAGTCCCAGGGGCATCCTTTATTAGGGTTATAGATGGCAGACTCCCTAATCTATGCATATAAAGCCTTATTAATGGAGAAGGGGGTGTGTGTGTGTAACTTAAAAAAAAGAAGTGTAATATTATATGGAATACCTGTTGTAAACTAAAATAACTGGCAAATGAAATTAAATAAGTTAACTGAAATATAATAGGCCCACACCATAATGTATTGTAATGTATCGTCAACCCATTTACCTCCCTAAAGGCTTATAGAAAAGAATCTTTAAAGTCTTGAGCTCTGATACACACACTCTTTCTCACTCTCTCTCTGTCTCTCTACTGGTTCCTATTTTTCTGAAGTCTTTGTCTGAACTAGAGTGGGTGGGTGGTAGGGCTAGTTAGCAATTGCAGCCCATTCTCCATGCCTCCCCCCGTCTCATCTTTTTCAGGGACAGCCAACATAATGTGGTCACAGGTGTGTTGGGTGAGCCTTGATTAATGAGATTCACGGCTGTCGAGTCAGGTCCTCCGGCTCATCAGCCTTTGGCAGTTTAGCAAGCAGGCTGGGGCCCTCAGCTCCCACTGCTGCATTCCTTCTCTAGGCGGTGTATTCTCTCTTTACGACACGTGTTCTCTCTCTTTTTTTCCTTTTGGTTAGTTGAACTTGTTCTGAGTCCAAGTGGCAAAGGCAAAGCCTGACTTGGGTGTAGCAGCTCTGTGTCAATAGCCGTCTCTCTGCTGGAGCCTCCAGGCAGGCGGTGGGGCAGAGCTGGGCAGTTTCTGAAAGCCCTGCTGTGCCTGACTGCCATCCAGGTGAGACAGAGCTCACCTCCTGGCTTCTGCACGCTGCAGGCCTTGTTTCCCCAGGGAGGAGTTGAAAAGCCACTTCTGTGCTTGCCTCTCCTGGCAGCAGGGATTCGAATAGTTGCTAGAATTCTCTCAACTTTGTGTGTGATTATGGCTTCCTTACCAAAGTGGCTGCTTTTAACTAACTTATGGCTGAAGTTTTCACTTTATGTCCTTGTTTGTTTGTTACAGGTGAATCAGCTCCCGGCCGACTTTAGGATTCTTCTGGATTTTAAATTTTTTCTTTTTAAAAAAACTTGGACGGATAAAAGATGTGCCATGGCAGGATAGCACCAAAGAGCACCTCAGTGTTTGCCGTGGCCTCCGTGGGACATGGAGTGTTCCTTCCGCTAGTGATCCTTTGCACCCTGCTTGGAGACGGACTTGCTTCCGGTAAGTCCTGACCTGCCTTCTGTGTGTGGGTGGGAAAATATTTAATACCATTGTTTCTCTCGAAGACTAGGACAGGGGACTCTCCTCCTGGCAGGCGGTTTCAGGGAGAGCAGAGGGTGGAGGGCTTTTGTGGTAAATATAGCAGGGAGCCAGTCCTTCTGAGGTCTAATGAGTCACCTGGAGGAGGGGCGTGTGGGAGCCTGCTGGTGGTAACCTTGTCACCCCTCTCCCCCAGCCATAATCATCATCAGGAGGACAGAGGTGTAAGGTTCAGAGCACAATATGCAGGTTAAGGGGACAGACTTTGGAATCAGACTGCCTGTGTTCAGTGCCCATTCTCACTACTTGCCTGCCCTGTGACTCTGAACAAGTTATTTTACTGCTGCAAGGCTCTGTTTCCTCAGCTGCAGAATGGGATAATAATAATACCTACCTCACTGGGTGGTTGTGAAGATTGAGGTAATAAAATAAGTATGTAATGATTGTTAGCTGTCTTTTGTTTGTTCGTCTTTCTGCGCTTTTTCTCAGAATGAGTGGGTAGTTGAAGTATTGTAATTTAGTGAAAATAAGACCCGGTCACTGACACTACAAATGTTGTGATCTTGGGCAAGCGACTTAACCATTCTAGGGCTCAGTTTTTCCCTCCATCAGATGAATGGGTTTACCTGGAATAACATTTAAAGTCACTTCTTTGCCCCTCAGTAAATGCTTTGATGATTCTAAGGACTTTGTGGTTGAAGATGGTGAGCTGGACGGGCCCTAGCAGGGGCTAGACATGCCCCATTGAGCCTTTTTGTTTGTTTGTTTGTTTGTTTGTTTGTTTTCAGAGAGTCTCACCCTGTTGTCCAGGCTGGAGTGCAGTGGCACGATCGTGGCTCACTGCAACCTCTGCCTCCCGGGTTCCAGCGATTCTCCTGCTTCAGCCTCCCGAGTAGCTGGGACTACAGGCTCATGCCACCACACCTAGCTAATTTTTTTATTATTTAGTTGAGACGGGGTTTCACCATGTTGGCCAGGCTGGTCTTGAATTCCTGACCTCAGGTGATCCACCCACCTTGGCCTCCCAAAATGTTGGGATTACAGGCGTCAGCCACGTGCTCGGCCCATTGAACCTTTTTGAGTTTGTACAGCCCTTGTTGCCTTCAACAGTGCTCCAGAGACCCTTCTAGGCAGTCTTTGTGTGATCTTCTAGACAAAATGTCCTTAAAGGACATGTTTGGGTGTGTACGGTAGGCCTCTGGGTGGTGTGCCACAACCTACCTCTGTGTCTACACTCCAGAATCATCATTGAACTCACCAATACTGGTGTTCCTACTGGACTTTGTTAGAAACACATACATGGCAGTTTCCTTGTCCAGTGCTTCCTGGAGAGGGATCTCAGAACTAGATCCTGGAAGGGGACTTTGGTGGGGACAGTAGGGGAGTGGTATATTGTGGCTGTAGAGCCTCCATAGTTTAGTGCTACTTCTTTCATTCTCTATCAGCTCCCACCACCCACTTATCCAACATAAACAGATAATGGCACAGTCTCAGCTAATCTTTTTTTTCTTTTCTTTTCTGAATTGTTGGAAGAAACAATTACAGATTTTTTTGTTCATTGTAGCCTTCTCCACTACCAACATATAGATGTGCCTTTCCTTCCACCCTATTCTGACACTTAACCCAAGCCTTTTCCCCCTAGGCATGAGGAGCCCCTGGCACAGCCCAGGGGGCCATGATGATTGGGACCCCACAATGTGGCCATCATGGTTATATGAGGTTTCAAAGGAAGAGAAGACCAGGCTATACCAATGTGCAACAAAATGAAGCAGAGCCTCCTTTCATAGGGTCACCCCAAAACCAGAGGAGGCCTCTAGAAGTGCTAGTTGCAGAACCACAGAGTGTGGTTGACTCTCTTATTCACCACTGTGTCTTTAGAGCAGAAGTTGGCAAACTGGCCCACAGGCCAAATCCTACCTGCCATCTGCTTTTGTAGAACCTTCCAGTTAACTGTTTATATTTTTAAATGGTTGGAAAAATCAGAAAGATATTTCATGACATGTAAAAATGTATATGAAACTTAAATTTCAATGTCTATAAAGTTTTATTGGAACACAGCAGTGCTCATTCATGTATATATTGTCTATGGCTGCTTTTGTGCTGCAGTGGCAGAGTTGAGTCGTTATGACAAAGACCATGTGGCCTGAAAAGCCTAAAATGTTGAGGCTTTAAAATATTTGGGTCTTTGTAAAAGAGGTTCTTCCCCAGCCCAGAACAAATGGTGCTCAATAAGTATGCATGTGAATGGAATGACTGTCAGAGCAGGAAGGAAGGAAGGCCTAGTCAAAACCAGCTTGGGCTTCAGAGAACTGTGCACTTGCTGCCCAGAATCTCACAGCTAATGGTAGGGCCAGGACCTAGCCTGGTGCCTGGCATACCACTGTGACCTGCCTCTTCCAAGGCTCCTCTAAGGAAACTGCCCTGGCGTGTGGTGTTAGTGGCATAATGTCTGCCTTAAGCCTCTCTAGTGTCATTAAGCTATCCTATTTACCCCTAACCTCCCTTTTGTTGGCTTCATCCCTCCCATTCCCCACCTCATTTTCCAACTACCCACACCTTCCCAGCTTCCCACTCAAGATCCGAAATCCATTATCAGGTTCCATACTGGCTGGATAAAGGGATTATTATTTTCCACTGTGGAAAAATGTGTCTGTTTATAGTGTGGGCTCAGACCAGGATGGGAAAGTTGGCTCTGTTGTTTTCTTTCCCCTCCCCCACCTGAAAGAATGCTCCTTCCCTGCCACCCCAACCTCCAAGTCTTTTCTACTCCCCATAAAACATGTGTACTGGCAGGGGAAAGGGGTTCACCTTTGCTTAGATCCTGTGTACTAAGTTGCTACCAATGTTTTTCCCTTTCTTTGGAGTAGCTTCTAGGGGAGTAGGTGCCCTTTCTAGGCCTGAAACCCAAAGCACACCTGTATGGCCGTGCCTGGCATAAGCAGCATGCCAAGCAGGCTTGTCCAGAAACCAGGATCTCAGATACTCTGAAGCCGAGGAAAGGCAGTTTAATTCAGGAAAAGCCTCTTTTCCTCTTCTTGTGTTTCTTTTTTCTTTTTATTTGTTTTAGAGATGAGGTCTTACTCTGTTGCCAGGCTGGAGTGCAGTGGTACAATCATAGCTCACTGCAGCCTTGACCTCCCAGGCTGGAGCAGTCCTCCCATCTCAGCCTCCTGAGTAGCTGGGACCATAGGCATGCACCACCATGCCCAGTTAATTAAAAAAAAATTTTTTATGTTGCCCAGGCTGATCTCGAACTCCTGGGCTGAAGTGATCCTCTCCCCTCTACCTTCCAAAGTGCTGGGATTATAGGTGTGAACCACTGCGCCTGGCCTCCTTCTTGCATTTCTTACCTGTTCTTATAGCTGCTCCTGAACACCCACTTCAGAGACATTTTTAAGTGGGTGCTTGTAAAATATACAGCCTTGCTATCCAGTGGGCTGTAGTAGACCCTGGCTATATGCGTGTGTACAGGCACATTCATGACTCTGAGAATACCACTAGACATAGGTAACTGGGCATCCTCTGGAGACAATTTGTCTGCATCGTCTCTGGTCGTAGATACCACAGTCATCATAATCTGTATCATCTCATCATCAAATATCACAGTTTTGATCACAGTCTAAGGTAGGAAGAATCAGGTACTTGAGAGTTCTGGAGTAAAATTACATCATGTTTAAAGTTCAGTTTCCATACTGGTTTCTCTCATCTACAGCTCGAGATTTGCAGTTATAGCAGAAAAGGTGTTAGAGAGGCATTGGGTCCAGCTTTCCTTTGGTCATTCCTTTAAATGGGGAGAATTATTGATAAGTTTCCTTTTTAAGAGTGGCAAAAGGAGGCGTATCTTATTCTTCACACCTAGTCACACCATGCAGTGGATAGACCAGAATTAAAAATAAAATCTATGCACATGCTATCCAATTTGCCTTTCTTGGACTAGGCGGAATTAAGATCTTTTCTCTGTAGCAGCCTTTCTCAGGTCTCCAAGTCTTTCATTTTACCTGTAGTCTTAAGAAACTTGCTGTATGACCTGAGGCAAATCACATGACCTCTTTGTGTCTTTTGCAAAACAGAAACAATAATCCTTAAGAATGTTAAGTTGGTGTTGTGTAGACTAATAAAAATGATTGGAAGGCAGGCACTTGGCATATAAAATGAAGTGTGTGATGTAATTCCCAAATAACAACAACAGAATTGGTATGTGACCTACTGTTGAGTTACAAGGTGCAGTAGACTTTTTATGCAGTTGATATTCTTTGCTGTCATTGAAACACAAAACTTAAGGTGCAAAGTACTGTTTGAGTTGGGGATAAGAGATTTTTGGAGCAGTTATCAAATTTGACCAGTAAGGAGGGATTAATTTACTTCAGGAATCCCCATTGCTTTCCAGAAAGCTCATGTTTGCATAGTTTGATCTTAATCCAACTGGCTTGCTGACTCATAAAAAGTTTTTGTTTGCATTCTCTTTCTTTCCTGAGCTTATTTACTAAACAAACTCAGTATTTTACTTGTTTCTGATTTTTTTCCCCTTAAAATGTTGCCATGACATGTTAGGCCGTGTTAAACATCACACAATCACCTAAAACAATTTTAGAATAGCAGGGAAAACAGCCATCTGCATTTCTACATGACAGAAAGCCAGGCAGTTAGTTTTCATTGAAAATGGAAAGTGTTGAGAACTAGGTTCTCTGGGAGATGACTTGGCTTTAGCCTGTAGCAGAGAGATGTTGGCAGGTGGCCCTGGCTCACCTCATCTTGGAAGGACCCTCGAGTCAGAGAGAATGTACACTGAGTTGAGAGGAGAAAACAAATGGGAAACTAATGTGTATAGAGCATCACTTATGTGTCAGGCTCTGTTATCGTTCCATATAAAGCTCTCAGAACACCCCAGCTAGGCAGTTGTGCAACCATTTTATAAAGGAGAAACTGAACCAGAGACAGGTTCAATAACTTGTTCAGAAACTGATGATTTTAAGTGGTGAGGCTGGCTGGGATTTGTGCTCAGTATGTCTGACTCTTGCCTATGGTCTTTTCTGGGAGCCACGCTACCTGTGCTGAGTGACAGGCTTCACTGAGACCTGTTTTTTGTATTTCCTGTTTGAAGTGCTCAGATCAGCCTCCAGAAAATTATTCTGATGGAGGAAGAAAGAGATGATGTTTTCTCCTGATGGATAAAAAGGATACAAGAGTCATCTCTGGGTCACCATGTTTCCCACTATGGTTGTTTCTTTTTTTTTTTTTTTATTTGAGATGGAATCTCACTGTGTTGCCCAGGCTGGAGTACAGTGGCGCGATCTCGGCTCACTGCAAGCTCCACCTTCCAGGTTCACGCCATTCTTCTGCCTCAGTCTCCCGAGTAGCTGGTACCACAGGCGCCCGCCACCACGCCCAGCTAATGTTTTTGTATTTTTTGGTGGAGATGGGGTTTCACAGTGTTAGCCAGGATGGTCTCGATCTCCTGACCTCATGATCCTTCCACCTCGGCCTCCCAGAGTGCTGGGATTACAGGCATGAGCCACTGCGCCTGGCCCTCTGTGGTTGTTTCTGTTCTCATCTACAGTGGCTCTTGGTTGTTTGGTTCCAGTTTAGGCACAAGGTTTGCCAAGGTGGTTCTATTCTTGGAAAGGAACAATAGGGACGTAGTAAATAGTTTGCTAAATGAGGATATAGTTCCCAAAACATCCGCAAAGCATCTTCCTGTCAGCTGCAAACCCTGTTGATGAAAGTGATGTAATCTCTCCATGGTGTAATTACCTGTGACTATAAAAAAAACTTAGAGATTATGGTAGGAGGCTGGATGGGTCATTATAGTTCTCGATGAACCCTAGTGTCATGAAAAGGCATTGAGAAATTACCCTCTGCACACTAATTGTTGTGCCATGTTTAAAACATTGACAACACATGGTACCACCCTCGCACTGTAACTTTCTAATAAAAGAAACCCAGAGTCCACGTAACTGGGTCCCTATTGGGTTAAAGTCCTCATTAAACACAGATTCCATCTGCTGAGCAATGGTGCCCCACTACCCTGCTAACTTGCCAGCTTAGAGGTTATTCTTCTTACCTACCCGACTTTCTGCAAAAGAGAGGCACAGGATGCTAATAAAACAAAAATTAGGGTTAACACTCAGTCTTCAATGATTCTAGGTAGGTTTCCAGATGAACACCTCTCACCACTTCTTACCCACTGGAAGAGTGCAGTGCATCACTTGGGAGTGGGAGCCTGCAGAGGGTGTGAGGAGCCCTTCCAGGTGGCCTGTGCTGGTGTGCCTGGCTGCCTGGACTGGGATCAGATCAGGAGAGACCTTGGCCTGCCTCAGATTTAGCTTTGGGGCCCAGAGGGACAGAAACATTTAGAGATAACGTTTCCATGGTGCAATGTGAATGAGGAGTTCCCTGGCTGCTGACTTCTTTCCAGCCCTGTTCATCGACCTCATCTTCAGCTAATTTAACACATGAAAATCCGAATTCACTGAAAGATGAGGGTGTGACTATAACTTTTTTTTTCTGAGACAGGGTTTCACTCAGTTGCCCAGGTTGGAGTGCAGTGGCTCTGTCACAGCTCACCGCAACTTCTGCCTCCTGGGTTAAAGTGATCCTCCCGCCTCACCACCTTAGCCTCCTGAGTAGCTGGGACTATAGGCATGCATCACCACACCTGGCTAGTTTTTTAAAAATATTTTTGTAGAGATGGGTTTTGCTGGGTTTGCCCAGGCTGGTCTTGAACTCCTGGGCTCAAACGATCCACCCGCCTTGGCCTCCCAAAGTGCTGGGATTACAGGCATTAGCCACTGCACCTGACTGACTATAACTTTTTAAGAACAGGATTGTCCCTAGGATTTCTTCACATAGCTGTCTCTTATGAGGTGGAGTGGGATTCAATTCATGTACACCTCAAAATAGTAAATACCACCTGCAGCTCTCATGGAGCCACTGAGATCATGAGTATAACTGAGTATTATATCTAGGTACCATTATGCTTCAACTCTTCACCTTGTTTTTTGGAATGACTGCATAGTCTGATGAAAAGCATGTACTCTGGAGTCAGATTGTCTGGGTTGAATACTGCTTGCATTCCTTGCTGCTTGTGTTGCCTTGGATAATTTTTGTGACTTCACTGTCTGTATTTCACCAGAATGGGGATGATAATGTCTGCTTTATAAGATTGTAGTGAGGATCAAATAAGATAGTATATGTAAGGCATTTGGAACATTGCTCGGTACACAAATAAATATTCCCATATTGGAAGATCAGATCCTAGCACCAATTGATATCATTCCACACTTCTGGTTTTATGACACCACAGCTGCTTGGTTCAGACAGACTCAGGTTGGAACGTGCTCCCTGTTTCTTCCATATCTCTTGGATTCTGTTTGAATCAATTCAGTGCATACTGAGTAGAGTTAGATCCTTGATATTCGTGAGGTTTTCTGAGTCCCTAAATTCTCAAATAACACATGTTGGTTTCCCATACATGAAGACGAGTAGCAAAGAGTGGTAAATGCCCTTCTGAGATGTTGGTGCTGGAGTGAGATCAGCTAAGTGATCTCACTGTGAACTATTTGTTCTCTTCAGGGAGGCTACCCTGTTGGTATTTCAGAGCTGATATTCCTCAGGGATGCTATTTGTTAGGAACATTTGGAGTCAGTTTTGAAACTTTACATATTAAATATGAGAATGCCAAGGATCTGTTCTTTTAAAGACATTTTTTATTTCGTCAGCACAGTGATGTGATTGGAAGGTTGCATTTTACATGATTCCAAAACACAACTGGGAGAATATAACATTAGAATTAAAAAATAAGAAATATCTTTTTCCCATTTGGTAGTCCTTTTGCTTCCTCTTGCTTTTCGTAGCTATATTGGTATTTCTTCTTTTAGGAGCCCCTTTCTACCTAGATTTATTGGCATCCCTGGTGATGGAGATTTTTTTCTTGTTTAACTTCTTTGACTTATTAGCTTTGCCAGTAACCAGATCTTTTAAAGGAGAATTGTTTAGTCATCCAAAATTCTGGGAAGTAGTGCAGGGAAGGTAAACAGATTGTCTTCAAGATTTCTTGGCCAAGTTTTTTTTTTCATTCTTTTTAAATCACAAAAGTATTTTTGGTATTTCAGTGGGGAGGGGGCACAAAATGTGTTTCAGGAAGTTATGACCAAGTAAAAACAGGGCTATAAAATAATTCTGCTTCATCCTTTGTTATTCTGAGTAACAAGTGACACTCTATGAAATACAAAGGGCTTGATCAATTCTTCCCATGTAGTAGACACATGTCTCCTTGGGAGAGGGCGGGACCTTTGTGTTTATTGTCACTGGCTTGGCTTCTGATGATTCGGCCTTGTTGACCCTGGCTATGGTAAGAGGCACCAGAGAATGTCATTGGGATTGTTGCACACTAGACTATGACTGAGTGGGTATGAGGATCAGCCTGTCAGTGTTTCCTGAGCACTGGTCTAGGCACAGAGGGGTTTGGTGGCAGATAGGAGAAAAGTCTTGGATTTCTCTTTTTCCCTGTTGATCTCATTATGATCCAGAGGCTGGATTGCAAATGACCCAGTGGAGTCTTCAGCCAGTGCAGCCCCACTAAGGCTCCTTGATAACTGTGCATGGTTGCTCACAGTTTCTTTTTTTTTTTTTTTTTTTTTTTTGAGACGGAGTCTCGCTCTGTCGCCCAGGCTGGAGTGCAGTGGTGCAATCTCGGCTCACTGCAAGCTCCGCCTCCTGGGTTCACGCCATTCTCCTGTCTCAGCCTCCCGAGTAGCTGGGACTACAGACACCCGCCGCCACACCCAGCTAATTTTTTTTTTTTTGTATTTTTAGTAGAGACGGGGTTTCACCGTGTTAGCCAGGATGGTCTCCATCTCCTGACCTTGTGATCCGCCCGCCTCAGCCTCCCAAAGTGCTGGGACTACAGGTGTGAGCCACTGTGCCTGGCGGTTGCTCAGTTTCTGATTAGCGGCCCATGAAGTTAGCTGGAGCCCTTCAGTAGGCTGTGTGGCTCTCTGTTTTATACCTCTCACACACCTCTCTGAGCTTTGATATCTGTACACACTGCTTTCGGTTTTATTTCTTTGGTTTTGCTCTTTGTTTTTGATTCTTGTTCTTTGTTCTTGATTCCATATGTGTTTGCATATAAGCTCGTTGAACACAGAGACAAAATCCTTTTTATGTTGCTCCTTTGCTACAGCCAGGCCAGTGATCATCCCAGTAGATCCAACACACGCATTGTGGGAAAGGTACTCCATAGGTGGGTTTACCCCATAGGATGATCCAGAATCATGGCTTGTCCTCTGTGTGAGGAAAGCAGGAGCAAGTCCAGGGCCCAGTGAGCAGTAGCAGTGTGTGGGGGCTTCCCACTGAGTGATGGTTCCTCATAGTATTCTGTCCCCAGCCTTCTGGGGAGGAAGTGGAGGAGCACGTGAAAGTGTTTTCATGCCTCAGGGATGCAGGTGGTGGGGCTCTTCTGTGGAGAAAAGAGAGGGCCCAGGCAACCTGCCTAGAAGAGTACGTTGCAGAGTATGCTACCTTTAGCTTGGGTGAGGATTTCGAACCCAGTGTGGATCCTGTTAGGTGATGAAGAGTTATATAGTTTGAAAGTATATCCCCAGCTGGGTGCAGTGGCTCATGCCTGTAATCCCAGCACTTTGGGAGGCTGAGGCGGGTATATCATTTGAGGTCAGGAGTTTGAGACCAGCCCGGCCAACATGGTGAAACCCTGTCTCCACTAAAAACACAAAAATCAGCCGGGCGTGGTGATGCACACCTGTAATCCCAGCTACTTGGGAGGCTGAGGCAGGAAAATCGCTTGAACCTGGGAGGTGGAGGTTGCAGTGAGCCAAGATTGCATCACTGCACTCCAGCCTGGGCAATAAGAGCAAGAATTCGTCTCAAAAAAAAAAAAAGAAAAGGAAAAGAAAGAAAGTATACCCCTACCAAATCTCATGTTAAATTGTAATTGCCAGTGTTGAAGTTGGGGCTTGGTGGGAGGTGTTTGGATCATGGGAGCAGATTCCTCATGAATGGCTTGGGCGATCCCCTTGATGGTGAGCTCTCTGAGTTCACATGAGATCTGGTGGTTTAAAAATATGTAGCACCCCCTCCCCACCTCCACTTTCTCCCTTTCGTTCTCATTCTCACCATGTGATGTGCCTGTTCCCTCTTTGCCTTCCACCATGATTGAAAGCTTCTTGAGGCCTCCCCAGAAGCACATGCCACTATGCTTCCTGTACAGCTTGCAGAACCGTGAGCCAGTTAAAAAAAAAAATCTCTTTTTTAATGAATTACCCAGTCTCAAGTATTTTTTTTCTTTTCTTTTCTTTTTTTTTTTTTTTTTTTTGAGACAGAGTCTCGCTTTGTCGCCAGGCTGGAGTGCAGTGGCGCGATCTCGGCTCACTGCAACCTCCACCTCCCAGGTTCAAACGATTCTCCTGCCGCAGCCTCCCAAGTAGCTGGGATTACAGGCATGTGCCACCATGCCTGGCTAATTTTTGTATTTTTAATAGAGACGGAGTTTCACCATGTTGGCCAGGATGGTCTCGATCTCTTGACCTCGTGATCCACCTGCCTCGGCCTCCCAAAGTGCTGGGATTACAGGCCTGAGCCAGTGCTCCTGGCCTCAAGTATTTCTTTATAGCAGAGTAAGAATTGCCTAGTTCAAGGAGGGAGGAAAGGTACGCTTTCATTACCAGTGGGAAGTGAAGGAGGAATGTATATGGAAATCATGCTGGCTGTAAACATATCCTGACATTAGAGAGGGGCATGAGAGTGCCACTTGGGTGGGGTTTGGCTTCACTTTCTTGCCTACTGCCTTTGCAGCCACAGCTTCCTCTACCTCTACGTCTGTTTCTAAAGATCAAGGCTAAGGGACAACTCCTTCTCCCCTAAACATCTTCAAGCTTATTCTCACCTGGTTCTTCCTGTGGCTAGAATTCTACCTCCTGCCTTTTCCTCCCATACTTCTCTTTATCCTTCAAAGTCCAACTTAGCTTCTTCTGTGGAACATCACCCATCTCTCTTACCACTAGAATTAATAGGGTCTGAAGGAAGGAGAGTGGGCTTTGTGTGTGTTTATTGAATGGAATTAACAAGAGCTCCTAGTCGTAGTTCTTTCTCTTGGGAGGATGTCAGACAGGTTTTCCTAGGAGCAGGATTCCAACTCTTAGAATCTTGACTGACTTTGATTTGAAAGGATTGGCCAGCTTTTTATGACCTCTGGTAATTGCAGCTTTGGGGAACTTGAACCTTTTGTTCTGTACATCATGGTACATGAACGCTATAGACCTTGCTCCAAACCCTAATGACCCTGGGTTTTGGTAGGGTTGCTGTGGGGCAGATTGGGTTTTGTATTTTCATGAGTGTTAACTCCTTAAGCAAGTATGTGTTGACATAAGGTGGGCAGGAGCTATGTAATGCCACAGAGGGCTTTCTGGGGATGAGGTACTAGGCTGGATCTTGACAGAAGTTAATCATATGTAGTAAGCCTGTGAGAGGAGGGCAGCAGCAGCCAGGAACTGTGCTCTGCACTGGAGGAATGCAGAGTTATGGTTTAGCACTCTGATTTATTCCACAGGTACTCGTTGAATTCCTGCTGAATGCCAAGACTGTGCCAGCTACTGAAAATAGAACAATTCCATGTGATACATGCTATAATCAGGAAAGTACTGCACTACACAGGAATACTCATTAGGGGGTCTCCTGACTCAGCTTGAATTGGTCATGGAAGGCTTTTCTGAGGGAGAGAAGTCTACACTGAGATCTAAAGGCAAGTGAGTTAACGAGTATGGGGAGACAAGGTGGCATAGTCAGGTGAAGAAGGCAGTGCCTTGGGCCAGACACGCTGGTTTGAATCCTAGTTCTGCCAGTAGTGTGTAATTTTAAGCAAGTTTCTCGAACTCTACGTCCCTCAGTTCTTCATATCTGTAAAATTGGGATGATAACGTACATACCATATAGGGTTGTGGTGAAGATGAAATGTTGCTGTTATCATCATCGTTGTTAAAATGTGGCACTTGCCAGTGGCAGGTACAGCCCGCTGTTGCGGGGAGTCTGGAGGGAGGAGAGGAAGAGAGTATGGTGTCTGCTCTGCTCATCTCAGCACTTCCTTTCCTGGGAACTTCCCATGTCACTGTTGAAACTTTGGATGTCCAATATACTGTATTCCCTAAACTAATTTGTTTCTTGCCCTGTGAATGAAGAAGTGTTCTCTTTCACTCTGGTGGAGTATGTTCAGTAGCTGTAGTTTCAAAAAAGAAAAATAAAGTCTAACCTTAGCCTAAGAATTCAGGGATTTAGGTTGAGCACACCAAAAGCACAGTTTGAGGAAGCACCCAGATAGGACTGAGATGCTGCTAGTGGAGGCAGGTGCCTGTCCTGGCTGAATTGTCAGAATTGTGGAGGAGGAGGAGGAAGAAGAGAAACAAGCTCTCTTGGAGTATCCTAAGGATCAAAGAGTTAAAGAAAAAACAAACTCTAGCTAATGAATCAAGAAGTTGAATGAGTCTAAACAGGAAAGGAAAGAGGGTTGGAAGGAGGATGTTAATTTTAGGTACAATTTGTGGGAGAGGATTGGGGATGAGAAGAATAGCAGTGGGCACCTATTTGCCTATGGGACAGGAAGTGATGGGCTAGGTGAGGCTGCCCTTCTGGTCCGAGGGAAGAGGTCACTCAGGACAGGCCACAGGAGTGCATGCTTCTTGACTCTCATCACCTGGCCTCAGTTCAGCCAACTCGTAGGAGGCATGTCTGACAAAGACTCCTTATTTCAGCAAGTCTGATGTACCGCGTGGGGTCCCATGTGGGTCTTATCTGGCGTCACAAATTCCATGGGGAGGCTGGAGGGTGTCAGAGGTTCTTAATTGCTTGGGGAAGGGAGAAGAGTGGAGGAGCAGCTGGCGTCTGGGCCCTTCAGATGTATTCCAGGATTTGTCCTCTTGGATCAGGCTGGGGTAATTGGAGAAGTTGGGGTGAGGACTGTCTGTGATTTGATGTGTTCAGGGGTGCAGAGAACTATTGTGACTTCCAGCAGAGATGTGTCTCAGGTTTCTTTGAGTGGCTTTCAGCAAAGGAACCCTTTCTTGGTGCTATTGTTCTCAATACCTTGTTGTTAGGCAGTTTAGAGGCTTTGCTGTTCAACTGGCTCCTCTCTCTGGCATTCAGAAAATCTGTCACCAGTAACGCAGACCCTGGCCTTGGAGGAATAGTTAAGATTGTGAATAATAGGATTAAGTGAGATAATATATGTAAAAGTCCCGGGTAAACAATAAAAGTCTATTTCAATGGAATGGATTATTATAATACTATTTTTTCAGTCAGCATCTCTTTTCTGAATTGCTCAGAGCACTTCGTTAACACTAACTGGTTAATCCACCATCCATCCCTGGTTGGAGGCTGGCATTTAATAGCCCCCCTTTGTATGCAAGATCAAACACAAGTTTCCAACAAACCCCCACATCTTGAGCTTGAAGCCCAAACCTATGGAATCGAAATCTAAAGCTTGGACTTCTAAATGTGATAATGCCTCATTCCTGGGAATAAAGAAGGTGAGAAGAGAGAGGAGGGATCATTAAAATTTTTTTTTTCATGAATAATTGGTCATGTCAGACAAGGCTGTCATAGTCAGGATTTTGAATGACCTAGAAGTCAGTCAGTCATTTTCCTCTGAGAAGCCAGAGTTCCTGCTGGAAATGAAACTTGATAGGAGCTGGAGAAGCAGAAGGCTAAGAAGAGCAGCTTTGGGGCAAAGAACAGGGAAGCAGAGAGGGGGCTGGCAGATTTCTTCATTCTGTCCTATTAGGCTGTGGTGGAAGTACTTGAGATGCCAGGTTCTGCATCACAGTGCTAACTGCCTGGCACATGGCAGTGGGAACACACTCTCCCCTCTGATGTGTACCAGGAAGTGTCAGGGGGACCCACAGCAGGTGCTTGGTGTATTCTTCAGGTCTCATGTTGAAACTTCACAGAGCACCCCCGAGTGTCCTGCTCAGGCCAGTTTTGCTGCAGACCAAGTATTGCAGTCCAGTTTGGCAGGGTGGGATCTGAGCAGATCAGCCTTAGGCCGACTCTCCAGTCAAGGAAAGGCCTAGGTGCATTGGTCCACCTGTGTCCCTTCCGAAGGCTGGTCTCACCAGCCTAGAGCTGGCATGAAAAGGTCCTGTTTTGTTCACAGTACTAGGTGAGGCCATTCAGAGTCATCAGGACCTTTTTCCAAGCTTGTACTTCCCTGCCTCTGGTCAAGGCTTAAAGGGCAGTTCCGTCCTCACCTTTTGTACTCTCTTGCACAGAGTCTTGAACCCTGGAAGCAGGAGGAGGATATACTGAGTTGGGAAGTTCCTCCTTCCTCCAGTGGCAGATGTGTGGGCTCCCAGGTTTGAAACTCTAGAGGTCATTCAGGTGTGCCAGTGAAGAGGCACATACTCATGAGAGAACCAACAGGCTGGACCTTGGAGGTTATTTGCACTAGTGAGTTTCAAATTTGAGCTAGCATCAGATTCCTCTAGAGGGCTTGTTAAACACAGATTGCTGGGTCCCATCCCCAGAGTTTCTGGTTCAGTAGGTCTAGGATGTGGTTTAAAAATGTGCATGTCTACCAAGTTCCCTAAAGAAGAACTTGGTAGACATGAAGCAGCAGCTGCTGCTGGTCTGAAGACCAAACTTTGAGAACCACCAATTTATACTTGGGCTGAAAAAAACCTGTCTGACTCTTTTCAGAGCAAATTTTGCTGAGGTGAGGACAGAGTGGGTGGAGAAATCTTGAACCCACTAGGGAGACAAGTGGCCCTCTCAGAAATAGGCTACTGCAGGTGGGCCAACCTAATAAAACTGAGAAGAGGTTAAGGGAGGATGCTGGCAGATGTATCTCTTCTCCATGCTGGTCTGGTCCTTGCATACTACCCTACAGCAAGGAGCCAGACCTGGTGAGCCCCGGGGCTGGATCATTTTCATTTCCTATTCTGCCCCCTGAGGCAGCAGTGAGTTCTAAAAGTCTGCATTTTCGGATGCCTTTCCTCAGTCTGGGCTCTGTGGTATGAAGAACGGGACCCTGAGCCGGGGTCCTGGGCATCGGCCCTAGCACTGCCTCTAATGGACAGTAACTGAAGGCACCTCATGTTACTCAAGGGTAATGTGAGTGTGGACTAGCTCTCTGGTGCCTTTTGTGCTCTGATATTCTGGGTTCTTTAATGATTTACCCTGACAGCTTCCTCCTCAGGGTCAGGAACTTCTGCTGGCTTGTTACTTGTTTTTTATTTTTTCCGTGTATGAGAACTTCTGTTGATCAGAATCCCATCCAGAGACTGGCTCGCCAAAAGTGAAACTAGAGACAAGTTTGGGAATTGGAGAGAATAACTTTTCTTTTTGGAGTCATTGGCACCTGCAGTTGTGCTGCTGCCATAACACCTGCCTACAGAGAGAATGACTGCATCACTGTCGTGCCTGCCTATCTTACCCCACTGCCAGCTTCACAGGCTGTCTGATCAGCTCTGGTTTCCAGGGTGCTCAGGATTGTTATTCGACATTCCCCACTGCCTGGCACAGTGTGTGGCTCATGGTAGGCCTGTGTGCATGCTTACTGGATGGATGGAATAAGCGGTTGTATCCAGCTACCTCTTCTTTTCTCGCTTCTTCTTAACTTGGTACAGTTGTCTTCCTTTGCCCTCCTCGCTTCCATCCTTCCTTCCCTGCTTCCTTTGTACTCATTTTTACTCCTCAGCACTCTGGCAGAGCTAGCATGTACGTCGAGTGCTTTGGGGGTTAAAAGTATACACAAGACAATCATAAAACACCCTATGCAAGCCATCTATGTGAGGGGTTCCTCCAGAGCTCCCCACTCTTCCTCCTTGTCTCTTCTGCCCACTTTGTCTAGGGTAGCTGGGAATGTTTTCACTGTCCTAGGGGAATTTGCTGTTCTTCAGATTGAATTTGACCCCGTTTTCAGCCTTTATTTCCCACCAGAGCCTGATGGTGTTTGTATTGGCAAGCCAGAAGACTCCTGGCTTGGAGAGAATTAGAGTTAGTACAGCCTGCCTGGCCCTGTCTTTTCAGCCTCTATCTGAAGGGGCAAAACAAATTTTTCGGCCTTGGTTAATTGTTACTTAGCCCCTCTGATCCAGCCTGGGCAACTTTCAGGTAGCTCAGGCACTGACTAGCCTGAAGTCTCTGTTGAAACAGGGAAGATTAAAGTTGATTTGATTCATTTGAAGTAAAATCAGCAGGCTTTTGATGATTTCATTAATTTCCTCCCTTCTGAACACCCTCCTGTTAGCAGTAATTGGAAACCCTGACTCTGTTTCTCATTTCCCCCCCACCCCTCTGCTTTAATCTGAGACAACTGGAAACTGCACTCAGCTTTTTCATTTACTGGAAGAATGGTTTGAAGATGGTTTTAATGACTGGCTTTGACACTGTTTCCAGAAGCTGAGACTGTTGCCGTGCTTAAGTTCACACCTACCTGGGGGCCTCAGTTTTGCTCACCTTGCTTCTATAAAACTGCTTAGTTCTTGGTGTGCAGGTGGAAGAGGGTCCCCATGAGAATTCTCTTTTTATCCCAGGCAATATATATGCAAGCTTTTCATTACTCATTTTCATCACTCAACATTTACAGACTGCCTGGGGTGTGTGCCAGGCACTGTCCTAGTAACTGAGTGTGTTCCCAGCACCTCCTCCTGGCCCTGGTGGACGTCCAGAGGACTAGGTAGGTGAGATTCCAGCAGGATGGTGGCTAAACTCAAACCTTGGGAACTGTAGTCTCTGGGGCTTTCTTTCTCTATCTGTTTTTATAGTTGCAACTTCAGTTTCTGTGCTTTTTTTTTTTCTTGGGCCTGAAGAGGAATAAATAATATGAACCACCACTTGATGTCAGAGAAATAGCAGGTAGCAATAGCTGCAACAGCTAATCACTATTGGCAGTTGACAAGATGTACAAACACTTGCTTGTATATCATGTCATATTGTTGTCCTCACGGTAAACCATCACAGCCAGTAAAGGACAAAGCCAGAATTCAACCTAGGCCTTCCCATTACAAATCAAATACTTTTTGTTTATTATTGTTATTATTTTTAGAGATGAGGTTTCACTGTGTTGTCCAGGCTGGTCTAGAACTCCTGGCCTGAAGCTGTTCTCCCACCTGAGTGGCTGGGATTACAGGTGGGAGTCACCATGCCTGGCTCTGCTTTTTGTACTATGTTGTTTTGTTTGATGGTTTGGTTTTGTTTTTAACGCTGACTTCCCATGCTATTGTCTTTAGTATGACTTCAACCACTTAAGTGTTAAGAACCTATTATGTATGCATTGGGTCTTGTACAAGGAAGTCAGGGTCTCACAGTCTAATGGGGGGAAAAGATAAGACAATTCATCTTAGTTGCCCTTGAGTGATTCAGGTACTGAATGCTATTAGAAAGAAGAGAATTAACCCTGATGTCTGTCTAGGGAGGCTTCCCCAGAAGAGCCAAGACTTGAATTGGGCATGGTGGAAAGGCAATACTCAAACCAAGAGAGAGGTGAGGAGGAGTTTTGGTTCCTATATGACTACCTCAGACTCGGGGATACAAAGAAGGTGGTAAGGTTTGTTTCCTTCTTCAGACTTAGAAAACCAGTATCCTCTGGGGTGATGCTCCTCCAACTTTACTGTGCTTTTTCTTTTTTTTTTTTTCCTTTTTGAGACAGGTTCTTGCTCTGTTTCCCAGATTGGAGTGTGGTGGGTAATCACGGCTCATTGCAGCCTCCACCTCCTGGGCTAAAGCAGTCTTCCCACCTCAGCCTTCTGAGTAGCTGGGACTACAGGTGCATGCCACCATGCCTGGCTAATGTTTTTATTTTTTAAAAAAATTGTTTTTTTAGAGATGACATCTTAGTATGTTGCCCAGGTGGGTCTTGAACTCTTAGGCTCAAGCAGTCCTCATGCCTTGGCCTCCCAGAGTGCTGGGATTATAGGCATGAGCCACCGCCCACAGCCTTTACTGTGCTTTTTAAAATGAGATTCCCACATATTTTGCCCACAAAGAACCATTTAGTAGATCTCTGTACAGCCCAGCAATCTGCATTCTTTAAAAGTTTGCTAATAATGTAGAACAGTTCCCCAGCCTCTCAAGGTCTCCTGCCTGAAGAGAAGAACCGAAAGGTATAGATTTCATTTGTTCCTTTCCAGAGGCAGAAACTGTTTGGTCAGTCAGCTGCTCCCGTTATTATGGTGAAGGTGGTGAGGTGGCCCAGGCTTTGAGAAACACCATAACCCAAGGTGTTCTCATGCCCTTAGTGTTGCAGAAAGCATTAGGAACCAGGGACCTGGGTTTTGATATCATAGAGGTCTTACTTGATGAGAAGAGGACTAAGAGTGTTTAGGATGAAACCAAGGAGGAATGGGGACAGTGGATAATAAATTGTGTAAGTTAAGTTGACTCTGACAGCACCTGGGTCAGTCTGTCTGCCAGCTTGATTTGAAGGCAGGTGGGGAAACCCACTGAGTCTGAGTACCTTTGAAACAAAGTTCTGGCCTTGCTCAGAGTTACTCATGTTACTCTGTTACGCCGGGCGTGGTGGCTTACGCCTGTAATCCCAGCACTTTGGGAGGCCGAGGCGGGTGGATCACAAGGTCAGGAGATCGAGACTATCCTGGCTAACACGGTGAAACCCCGTCTCTACTAAAAATACAAAAAAAATTAGCTGGGCGTGGTGGTGGACGCCTGTAGTCCCAGCTACTTGGGAGGCTGAGGCAGGAGAATGGCATGAACCTGGGAGGCGGAGCTTCCAGTGAGCCAAGATCACGCCACCGCGCTCCAGCCTGGGCCACAGAGTGAGACTCCGTCTCAAAAAAAAAAAAAAAAAGAAAAGTGTTTTTACAGACCTGTTTGGTAGCTTAGCTTTCAGATGACTGTTTTGCAGAGGGGAGTGGGTGGGGTGGGTGGCAGCAGTGGAGACAGCTGCATGGTCAATCAGGGGGTGAGTAGAAACAGATCTGCCAGAGGATTTAGCAGTCTTGATGAATCTAATTATTTATTTCTATATTTTGTGACCATATGGTACCTAGGGTGGTTATAAAGATTAGAAAACAATCACCAAGTTACCAAATACCCTGTTAAGAAGTGATATGCCTTAGGTTGGAGGCATTGTAAAAATACTATAGGCGAAAAGAATTAACACTTATAAACATGTAATGTGTTCCACTGTAAACTTAAAAAATGGAGACGAGTGTAATCACACATGGATACTTGCCTCCCAGATTTAATATTTTGCCATACTTGCTTCAGACCTTTTCCTCCAGAGATGACCAGTATCCTAAGTTGATGTGCATCATTCCAACCATTTCTGTTTTTGGATACTTAAACCTGTATTCCTAAGAAATACAGAATATTGTTTTATGTGTTTAAAAATGTGCAGTGCATTTGGTGTTCCTGCTTCAACAGTGTTTGGATGGAACAGATCCAGGGACTCTCTTGGGAAAAAAAAAAAGTATGTAACCTTCCGTAGCATACTTTTTTCACTCAAGATTTCTTTTGACATTTGGCTATGTTAGTACATTTCTTTTACCTGCAGTATAGCATTCCATTGTGTTAATATAAGTGTATATTACATATTGTAACATAATTTATAATTATATATAATTATATAAATATATATTTATAATTATTGATTACAAACTATAGTTGTAAATTATATGTTGCAATTATTTGCAGTGATGATATGTAACAGTATAATTGTATTAATAACAAAATATTTATAACCATTCTCTCACTGATGGATCTATGGGCGACTCCAGTTGTTCACTGTTAAAAACAATGCTGCGGCTGGGCATGATGGCTCACACCTGTAATCCCAGCACTTTGAGAGGCCGAGGTGGGCAGATCGCTTGAGCCCAGGAGTTTGAGACCAGCCTGGCCAACATGATGAAACCCTGTCTCTACAAAAAATACAAAAATTAGCCAGGTGTGGTGGCACATACCTTTAATCCCAGCTCTTCGGGAGGGTGAGGTGAGAGGGTCACTTGAGTCCCGGAGGCCAAGGTTGCAGTGAGCCATAAATGTGCCACTGCACTCCAGCCTGGGCAACAGAGCAAGACCCTATCTCAGAAAAAGAAAAATAGTTAACAAAAGAAAAGAAGTTGTTAAAAAAACAATGCTGCAAGGAACATCCTTGTGCATGTGTCCTAAGCATGTGTGCAGAATTTCTCTGGTATCTACACCTGGCAGGAGAGTTCCGGATTGTTGGAAATGCACTTCAACTTTCTGCATATTCTTCACAGTAATTGTACCAGTTTACACTACTACTGATGTATAAGAAGATTCTTATATCTCCATATGCTTTACAACAACTGGTATTGTTAGGTGTTAATTTTTGCCAGTTTGATGGACATGAAATGGAATCTCCTTAAGGCTTTAATTTTGTATTTCCTTGATTATCCTCTCCCAATTTGTAGATTTTTTGAACTTTTCTTACGGCAGTGGTTTTCAAGGACCTTTGAGATCCTTTTAGGGGATTGACAGGGTTGAAATTATTTTCATATTAAGATGCTATATTACATACTAAGATCCTGTTTGCCTTTTTTGCACTCATTGTTTCATGAGTGAATAGTTGAGTTTACAGAAGCTATATGGCATGTGTTGTGATCATTGATGTTAACATCTGTGGGTTTATTGTTATTTTAAAATGAATTATAAATATGTAAAATTTTTAGTTCTATTTTCAAATATGGTAATATTGATAGGTGTAACACACAAATTCTTTGGGCATCCTCAATAATTTTTAGTAGTGTAAAGCAAGCTTGTTCAACCCACGGCCCATGGGCTGCATGTGGCCTAACACAAATTCATAAACTTTCTTAAAATATTATGAGTTTATTTTGCTTTTTTTTTTTTTTAAAGCTCATCAGCTATTGTTAGTGTTAGTGTATTTTATGTGTGGCCCAAAACAATTCTTCTTTCAATGTGGCCCAGGGAAGCCGAAAGATTGGACACCCCTGGTGTAAAGGAACCTGAGAGCAAAGAGTTTGAGAACCACTATTATTTTACTATGTCAATTTTTAAAATATTTTTTTCCTGTCTGGTAGGTTTCTTGTTTAAGAAATTATTTCCTATCCAAATTTCATAAAGATGGGCTTTTATATTTTCTCGTAGAAGTTTTGGAAAGTATTTTTATGGGTGGCGTCTGCCAATTCCCAGGCCCTTCAACCACTAGGAATAGTTTTTAATTTTATGCCTTCTCAGAAACACTTATATGGCCTGAATGGAACATCTTCCCTATCTGAATATAATTTTTTGGAAGGGCAGTATGTGGGAATAGGGATTTAGCCACCTTCTTCAGATCCCTTTTGTTCAAGAGAGCCTCCTAGCATTTTGCAGAGTTCAGCAGTCTCTCCTTAAGAATGGTGTACACTCTCATTTTGGATCCTTGGGTTCACTGGTTTTGCAGTTGGCTGTTCAGAGGCCCAGAACCCACCAGTGACAGGGATTCTGGAAGCAAAATCCCTCTCTGCAGCCCCTAACCCACATGCCCCAGTTTCCACTGGATACTTGAGTTTCTGTCAAGGCATCAGTGCCCTTACTCCTGGTTGTGTTTGTGCTGGAGTGGGAAGGTGTGTAGGCAGCTGACTGGTTAACTGCAGTCAAGGATATAAACAATGGCCTCCTCTAAGGAAAAAAATTACATTGCTGACATCCAAGGCCCCATCATCTCTCACCAGGCTCTTACTGGTTTCCGTGTCTCCAGTGTCTTTCTCACCCTTCTTCCCACAAATCTGTCTTCCACCCTGCCAGAATAACTCTCAGAATCTCATACTTGGCATGATGCTACTTCTCCTCTTAAAACAAAAGAAAACAAACTCAGGGTCCCATAAGACTTATGGTAAGGTCCATTCTTCTTAGCAATATAACCCTCATCTGTACTTTCAGCTTTCTTGCCAGCTGCTTCTGTATCCTATCCTCTGTCCTGGAATCTCACCAGGCATCTCATTTTTATTTATTTTCCTAGTATACTGTGGTATGTGCCCCCAAAGCCTTGCTTATGCTGTTCCCTCCAACTCAAATGTTGTTCCCCCTTTGTCTGCTGGGGGAGATCTTTTTTGTCTCTCAGACCCTACAAAACTCAACAAGTATGAATTCTATGAGGATGATTCCTTTAGTCTTCCCACTGATAGCCTTTCCAGTCAAAACGAAGACTCAGCAAAGTTATCTTGGTCTTTGTTGCACTTGTAGCTTTGTTTGGGGAAGGCTGATACATCTCCATCCCTTCCCCAAAAGTTTCCTACCCATAAATTTTATTTACAGTGTTGGCCCCAGTTGTTTTGCAGCCTAGTTCTTCAGTAGTTGCACAAAAGGAAGATGCCTTTTTTGTGGTTAAGAGCTGATGTTGATATCCTTATAAATTGTCTTCCTACATGCCTTTCCTTCAGGGAGGGAATGCACTGAACAGTCTGATGGCAACAACTAGTCCCTCACCCTTCGCTACCACCAATTATTGTGCATTTTGAAAAAGTAGTACATTGACATCTGTCATATTTTAAAAATGGTACATGAAATACGTGTATGCATTAATGCTGTCTGCAGAAAGGTCCTGCTCAGGGAAAAAATTCTGGATGGTGCTGTTTTTCCCATTTAGCCACACCTAGCCTCCTGCCTCCCCTTTAGCAGCCTAAAAAAATAAAACTTTATAAACCCTGGACATCTGTTAGACATGCAAATTAAGCAGATTAACTTATTTTCTGAAAGAGCTTTATAGCAGAAATCCACATGGATGTGGAGAAAAGGGGGCTCCTGCTTGGAAGACTGCTGACGTAAGTGGCCTGCAGTAGGAGGGTTGTGGTGGGCCAGAGAAGGGGACGGCCCCGTAGGGGGATCTGAAGTGGGAGACTTTGATTGCAGGAATCTTCATGTCATTGTTAACATCTGAAAGAGTTGACTTTCTTTGGCAACTTATTTATAGCCTTTTCATTACTTCTTGAGAATGGTCGCTATAAAGATGGGAAAAGTAAGATAGTAAAATGGGGGAAAAATTATTTCCTTGGCTCACATTGCAGTGATCATGGCAAAGGTAGGATTGGATCTGTTGCATGCTGCCTTTTAGTCTGTTGCAAACAGGCTAGGTGGGTATGAATTCTCAAGTTCATGAAAAGGGCTTACGGCTAAAGAAGTGGGGTCTGAGCACTCACAAATTCTGGGTTACTGTGTTAAATACTGTGTTAAATGTTGAAAAATATGTTTTCATATGGACATGCATCAGAGAGAAGTTTCTTTTGTGGGTAATGCTTGTCTTGTTACTTGAAGAGTACTGCTAATGTTGCTGTAATGTTTGATTAGTAGTAGTTTGAGAAATGAAATATAGGCCTGGTGGGGTGGTTCATGCTTTAATCCTAGCGCTTCGGGAGGCCAAGGTGGGAAGACCACTTGAGGCCAGGAATTCAAGACCAGCCTGGGCAATACAGCGAGGCCCCATCTCTACTAGAAAAAAATTCTGAAATTTAGCCATGCATAGTAATGCATGCCTGGAATCCCAGCTACTCGGGAGGCTGAGGCGGGAGGATCTTTTGAGCCCAGGAGTTTGAGGCATTGGTGAGCTATGATTATGCCACTGCAGTCAAGCCTGGGTGACAGAGTGAAAACTTGTCTCAAAAAAAGAGAGAAAGAAGAAGTGGTAAAATACAAGAAGTAATTAGGTAAGCCTTGCATATCAAGCAGAATGGTACCAATTTTCTCATTCTGCCCTACTTTGCCCATGTCTCTTCCCGTGGAACCCAGGCCCTCTGGCACATATGAGAAAAACAATCCTTGTAATCAAACCAAATGTATGAAATACAAATTTAAAACTCTCCCCAATTAAAAAAAAACAGAGTATAGTTATTGCAAAAAGATTTTGCCATCCACTGAAGGAGTCACTGTGCAATTGTTTTAAAGAGCAAGGGCTCTGGTTTATCTATAATAAGATTACATTTTCCCCTAATTTTTTATAATCACATTTGTTGTTTAAGGCATCTAAGAGAAAGAGAAAGTGGGAGGGTGGAGTCCCAGTGGCACCTTGGGCAATATCAGATGAAGTGTTTGGTTGAGACTGCAACTCTGAAAACTATGCTGAGTTCCACATCTGATCATAAGAAGTTGCCTCCCTTTTTTCCCCTGCAGCCCTGTCTCTCCTAGAACAGGCTTTGCCAAGGATGAAAAGCCTGAATGTCAAATCCTTTCTGTCTGCCCTGGCAGGGAAGCTGTTCTGTTTTCCAAGAAGCCTTTTTTTTTTTTTTTTTTTTTTTTCACTTGGGGAATTTTTACTTTCCTCTTATGGGAAGTTGCTTCATCATTTCCCAAAAATATACTGTACCTCCTGTTTAAACAGGGTGCCCTTGAAGAGCTCTGGAGCCTGAAGGGGGCTAGGGGTGTTGTGAAGTCCTTTGTTTCATGCTTTGATGTGAGCTGAAATGCAGGCTGTCTACAGGCAGAAGTCTCAGAGTTTGCCACGACTGGGGTCTGGAATGGGGTGTAGGAGGAGAGGCTCCCTGGGAAGCAAGAGCTGGGATCTTTTTAAGCATTTAGTTTATATATGTTGTGAGAGGTAACAGCCCTTCCAGACACAGACACCATCAGGTATTTGTCTAGTGCCTTAAATATGTCCAGGATGGTAAAGGTGGGCATTCTGCCCTTTTGAGGAGCTCATGAGGAGGACCATGTCACATTTAGAAATGGTGAACAAAATGGTATTTAACTACTAGATTGTGGAGACATAGATGCTTTTGTTTAGAGAGGAAGGATATTCCTGTAAAAGAGAGCACTAAGATTGGGCCTTGCATTATGGATTGGGTCTGAGTTGATGGAGGAAAAACTAGAGGATGTTGAGGGAGAGGGAAAGGAGAAATCTCTGAGAGGGGCCAGAAGGCTGAGCTGAGGCCATGATCATGGGTGAGTGAGGCCAGTGGGGGCTGCCTAGTTGGACTTGATGTTGGAGAAATGGAACAAGCCAAAGTGTGGAGACATGCATAGCCAGCAGAAGCATTTAGACTTGTAGAAAGTGGCAGCCTTTGGACGATTCTGAAAAGAAATCATCATGAGGAAAAATGTGTTTTGGGGGGAAGATTTGCATATGAGGATAAATTATAGTATGCCTCCAGGTGGGCTGCAGGAAGGAGCCCCAACTCTGTCCATGGTTTTTGGAAGGAGATCATGCTGTAAGATACTGGGAGGGGAAAATGGCCTGGTAGAAGTCTCTTTTTGTCTTGGGTGAGTGTGGTCCCATAGTGGTGCCTATGGCCCAGTGGCCTTCTGCAGTCCCCCTTGCAGGGCACAGCAGTTGGAGCCATCAGGTTGTTGCTGGCTGAGTAGGATCAGCTCTCAGGCACCACCCTAAGTAAAGCTTTGATCAGGCCCTGCTGCAGGTGGAAGTGATGTCTCCTAGCGGACCCAGTGGGGTCAAGCATAATGTGTAGCAGGTTTCAAGCCTCTGCTGGTCGTTGGAGAATGAGATTGGCCAGGAGATACTGTCCAGGTCCAAGTGACACCAGTCATTTCATGCCTAATCAGCAGTGAAAGTGCGGTTTCCTGAAACCTTTGCTGATATTGGGTGTTACTACCTTCCTTTGTGCCTTGGACCCCCTTAAAGATTTTAAATAAGAAATCTGATATGTAAAATAAAGGAGGATCAGTCAAAAAGTGTTCTTAGTAGAATATGTATCTAGCAGTCACTCTTTGTGAAAAATGGAAATTGGGAAAATATTTTGAGAGAGATTCTATCAGTGGGGACAAGCAAGCATAAACATGTTATGCTTATCCCAAGATCTATTAATTTCCAGTAGAAGTAGGGAGAGTAAATTATTGCCAAGGGAGATACTGCCCAGTTTTCTTAATGGTCAGAAAATGAATGACAGTTTCAATTTCAGCTGCTGTCCCTGGGCTGGGCCTGCTGACTTGCCCCAAGTGCCTTGGCACAGACCGTGGTGTGGCCAGTGGAAACATCGTGTCTGTAGCCCCGTGAATGAGCAGTTCCTCTTTGGGGGTCAGCTCAGCATGTTGCCAGGCCAGGGGGCAGGTCAGGCCGAGGCTCCACTGTTAGCCTTGACTTCCCCTGCCAGGAGATGTGGGGCCATTATGGCAGAAGAGGAGCTAAGGAGAAACACCTAGCTTGGAGCCTTGAGTCTTCAACTTTCACCTCAAGTTACTCTCCTTAAAGACCAGCACTTTCTTTCCCACTTTTCTTGAAAGCCTCTAGGTCCCTGATCCTGTTTCAAACTGCTGGTATATAAACTGCTCATACCACTCTGAGTTATCACTTTGTTAGGGCTGAGTAGCAGGGTGGCCCTTAAACAGGCCTGACTTTCAGTGGCTCTGCCCACGTTTGCAGAAGTCACAGTGGGAAATTTTCACATTTTTCTCTGTCCTTCTAAGATGGGACAGTTGAGAGGACTCAGGAAGGGTTGAGGGAGAAAGCAGCAAGCCCAGAGTTCAGAATCGGTTGCCTTGCAGCTTGTCCTTTTGTGGTGGGTGATTTCACTTGGTTTTTCAAGTGAAGGGCTGCAAGTACAAATGGACTAGCCCTAAAGGACATTACCCACATGCATAGAGCCATGAGGCACATTGATTGTTTCCCATAGGCCACTTTGCTCCCCGTTGAGGAAGGAACCATTGTGCTACTAATATTATTCCACTGCAAGGTCTGGCTGGAGGCATCTGCAAAGACTCTTCAGGGCCCTGATTGCACATTTGACAAGTCTTTTCCATCAACAAAGCATAGAGTTCGGGGAAACCCAGGATGAGCTGTCATTCTGAGTAACAGGCTTGTGCAGGTGCTGACTAGCTTGACTTCCCTTGATTCAGTGCAAACCTTGGGACCCTGGAGGCAGTCCTGGTCTCTTAGTAAAATGCAGGTGTGTGTGTGTTGCTGAGTACCAGAGATTTTGGAGCCTCGATACTTTCCTCATTTGTATGTGGACCTACCTAAGAATATATTTTCTCTAGGTTCACCAAAGTGATTCCGGGCCTTTAGGGCCAGGAGAGTAAAGGGTCAAGAAATCTTAAATTTGCTAAACCCGTGGTGGGGGAGTGAGAGGGTAGAAGTAGTGGGGATTCTGAAGCAACTCCAAGCAGTCTGCTTTTAAACATTTGTCATGGGAACAACCTGTACTCTGGTAAATTGTAAATTGACACCCCGATTGCCTTTGTGTAATGAATTTGGACTTTTGTGCAGCAGCTGAGAAAGAACCTCTTGAGCAGTCGTGAGGTGTGGCTGCCTGCCAGTCAGCAGCACACTCTGAGCAGCCTCGCCAGCTCCCTCTGTGCAGCCGCATGTGCTGCAGCGGTAACTTGCATTATCAGACCTTGATTTTGTAAGGATGAGTTGAAAATGGAAAAATGAAATGACTAATGGTAGTTGTAAGGGTAGGTCTTCTAAAGTTGATAGAATTGGAAGATTTTTAAATTCAATGAATGTGCCAGAAGTAAGAAATCTTTAGTGTCAGTTGAATACTCATTGACTTAAGTCAACAGCCCTGCTCAGTTGTGAAGAGAAAAAAACACACATAGCCAAAGAATAATGTCTAAAATGCCCAGGTTATGTTGTCCAAGATTGTCTCTAAAAGGCAGGCTATAATTAGATATTTTATGATCTTTTTTGGCTTTCTGAGTTGACTTTCTTATAATATGTAAACCTATTGTTTGACTATGAGGGTCCTTGCTAGGGAAGTAGGGGGACTACCTGCAACAGGTTCTGGTGTAAGAGTCGTGCAAAAACAAAGCCCTTTTTGTAAGTGTGAAAGGCCCTTCTAGAGCCGTGAGTATACATTATATTTTGACTGTATTAGTCTGTTTTCACGCTGCTGATAAAGACATACCCGAGACTGAGCAATTTACAAAAGAAAGAGATTTAATTGGACTTACATTTCCAGGTGGCCAAGAAAGCCTCCCAATCATGGTGGAAGGCAAGGAAAAGCAAGTTACATGTTACATGGATGACAGCAGGCAAAAAGAGAGCTTATGCAGAGAAATTCTCGTTTTTTAAAACCGTCAAATCTTGTGAGACCCATTCACTATCATGAGAACAGCATGGGAAAGACCTGCGCCCATGATTCCAGTCATCTCCCACCAGGTTCCTCCCACAACATGTGGGAATTATGGGAGCTACAAGATGTGATTTGGGTGGGGACACAGAGTCAAACCATATCATTGACCTAGTCTCTTCATGTATTAATTAATGCTTTTCCCCACATGTTGTACTCATTTATATGCTAATTTCTGCCATCTTTATTCTATTTAGATACATTTAGCCTATGATTTTGTTTTATTTTATTTTGAGTCAGAGTCTTGCTTTGTTGCCCAGGCCGGAGTGCAGTGGTGCGAACTTGTCTTACTGCAACCTCCGCCTCCTGGGTTCAGGCGAGTCTCCTGCCTCAGCCTCCCGAGTAGCTGGGATTACAGGCACCCGCCACCACACCTGGCTAATTTTTGTATTTTTAGTAGAGACAGGGTTTTACCATATTGGTCAGGCTGGTCTCGAACTCCTGACTTCAGGTAATCTGCCTGCCTTGGTCTCCCGAAGTGCTGGGATTACAGGTGTGAGCCACTGCACCTGGCCTAATTTTTGTATTTCTAGTAGAGACGGGGTTTCGCCGTGTTGGCCAGGCTGTTCTCGAACTCCTGACCTCAGGTGATCTGCCTGCCTCGGCCTCCCAAAGTGCTGGGATTACAGGCGTGAGCCACTGTGCCCGGCCTAGCTTATGATTTTAAGCTGTCAGATGGGCTTTTATTTAAAAGACTGGCCTGCTCAAACATTGCTAGCCTTCTATAACATAAAACCCCAGGTTTGGGGAGTTAAGAGAAAACCACCAAAAAATAAACCAGCTCTTAGACTGTGAACTTTCTCAAACTCTCTAGTTTCAATCCGTAACTGTGGGTAGGTAGAGTTGTTATGTATGTGCTTTAAACGACAAAGTTTTTAAGAAAAACTAACCAACATTCCACACTGGGGTACTATTATAATAGAGAAAAATCTCTCTAATTATAGCAGTATTGTGGGCTTCTCCCATGCCTGGCTGGCCACGACATGGAGTTGATAAGCATACAGTGTCTTTCGTACTTGCCGTTACAACTGTTAATTAAGAGAATTCAGCTGTGGCACCAGCTGGGGATGTCTGGCTTTGTGGAAGATTGCAATTAGATGCTTTTTTTTCTTTTTGTTTTTTTTCTTTTTTTTCCCTTTTCAACTTTGGTGGAATGCCTTTGAGTAGGGGCTTTTAGTCTCAGCAGTATAAATACTTTATAATGTGCCTAATTATGTAATTATACAGTTATACTCTTCTGTGTACACACACATTGTTTTATGAATTTGTATGCCCTTTTCTAATACATGAAACATCTAGCCTGCTTTTTGGTTGTTGTGGTAGAGCCAGACTCCTCTCTGCATTGGGCAGAAAGAAGAAGACTAGATGTATTTACTGATTAGCTTCTGATTATGATCTGCCCTACTTCTGTTCCTCTTCCACCTCCCTCTTGACCCTCTATCTCCCAAATAATTAGCATCTTAGTAGCTACCTAGCAAAGTCAAGGTAATTTGAATAAAATTGGATTGTATAATACTCTTATCTTTCCATTAGTTTGCAAATGTAGTCCTTCAAAGTGTGTAGTGTTATTTTTCCCAGTCCTCTGTTCTAGGCAGTTATAGAGCATGAGCCTGGACGTGAGAGCTCATGCATGCATGCAGGCACAATGGGACCCATTGATTTCTGGCATTCAGCTTGTGCATAGAGGACCTGTGACCCCAGCTGTTAGAACCAGGACCTGGGAGCAGCTGCTTTCTGGATCCAGTCCTCCAGGGATAGGCCATCTGCTGCCATGTGAGAGAACCCTGGAAAAGAAACTGACCACAAGATATCTTTGTATTCCTTTTCTGTGTGCTCCAGCCCCTTTAGTTCTTTCCTGTCCCCTCTCACCTAGGCAAACTTGAGAAGCATGATGAATCTGCACTGGAAAACTCGCAATGGATTTTCCGTTTTCTTCCCCTTTCCCCACTCCACCCTGTCAGCACATCCAGCCCATTGGAAAATAGTTTCCAGGGGATGTAGGCAGACTTATATGGGCAGCTTCTTCAGTGGGATTGGTACTATTTAGCAGGCTTTCATTTTATTATGAATAACATGGCTTTGCATTATAGGCCTAGAAGTGTCCTTAAAATCTCATCTCATGGAAGAGGAACCCAAGATTCCACATTCTTTAGCCTTGCATTCAGGGCCTACCCTCTTCTGGCACCAGCCTGATTTTCTAAATGTTCAGTTATCTCCTGCTAAACCTGGAAACATTTGCTAACTTCTCCGTACACATACCACCTCTTCTTGATTCTCTGCCTTTGTTTGTGCCTTTATGTCCCCCACCATGTTCTTCCCACTCTCCTTTATCCCCGTCATAATCCTTTATCCCGTACTCATGATCCTACTTCCCGTGAAGTTGGAGCTCTGATACCATTTCTACAATCTTCTTTGGTCTCTTCCCCATTGGATTAATCCTTCTTCAGAACTTTCTGTAGCCCATATTGATTTCTAACATATATCTATTATAGTCGTTTATTAGAAAGCTCCTAGAGTGTAGGACCAATATCTTTTTATCTTTCCACCTGCCTACCTTCACCTGCCACAGTGCTTTTGGTACTTAGTAAAAACTTGTTGAAAAAATGAATGGCAGAATTAAGCTGAGGGAAGAGAAAAAAAGAATGAATGGGTAAATATAATCCTTACATGGATTCTGGAAGAGAAGCAGTAGATATTACTATTATTTTAATCTTGTTGGGGCTCCTTATCTGTATTCCCAAAGAGACTGAAGTCTCCTCAAGGGCACACCATGTGTATTATTTGCCCTTGAATTTCTAGCAGCAGCCTAACACATAGTGCTTAATAGAAATTTGTTAAATTAATGAAGGAATTTGTTAGGAAAGTGAAACCTGGAGAGAATAAGAATCAACACTTGTAAATACTTTTAAAAATTTGTTTAATTTTTTGAGATGGAGTCTCGCTCTCACCAGGCTGGAGTGCAGTGGCATGATGTCCACTTACTGAAGCCTCCACCTCCTGGCTTCAAGCAATTCTCATGACAAGCCCTCCCGAGTAGCTGGAATTACAGGTGTGTGCCACGTTGCCTGGCTAATTTTTGTATTTTTGGTGGATACAAGGTTTTACCATGTTGGCCAGGCTGATCTCGATCTCCTGGCCTCAAGTGATCCGCCTGTCTTGGTCTCCCAAAGTGCTGGGATTACAGGCCTAAGACACCATGCCCGTGTTTTTTTACTCTCTTTTGAGTGAAAGTTATTAGTTATTAAACC
Source organism: Homo sapiens (assembly GCF_000001405.40). NCBI lineage: Eukaryota > Metazoa > Chordata > Mammalia > Primates > Hominidae > Homo > Homo sapiens. Next base: position 69,690,008 of record NC_000014.9, read on the forward strand.
TGCTGTCTGGAGGACAAGAGATTAAAGGTATTTTCTGTACATCAATGTGGCATTTAGACATAGTTATCTACCAACATGCAGTGTGTGTGAGGCTGTCCGAGGCATTGTCTTCTGACTGGGCATCTCAGACTGGTCAGTCAAAAGTGGCTTGCGAGAGACTAGGGTCCAAAGAGCCAAAGAGGCCATGACAGGTGACAGGGGCATGGTCCTCACCCTGATAAATAAGCATGGTTGAGACTCTACTCCTGACTGTTAGCTAGTTTAGGCCCAAGTTTCACTATTTTGAGGTTGTTTTGTTTTACTAGAGCCAGACCAATATGTACACAGGCTAACATCAAAGGCCAGTCCTAGACCTTCAGGGCCAGGCATCCATCCTTCTTTGGACTTTGCAGCAGGCTTGAATGCATTCCTGTTGTTTTTAAAGATCCTTAAAGAGGCTTAAATGTGGCTTCCTCAGAGAAAAGCATGTGGGAAGGATTCAAAGAGAAAGCTTGTAAGAGGAGCAGAGGGATCTTCCAGGAGCACGGTATGCTGAGCAAGATGCAAAAGTTCAAAGTAGTGAAGAAGAGAACTCCTAGGGGGATTTGACTCCTCACTGTCCAGAATCAGTTGGTGAAAGTTCCCCTCTGGAGAAGTGCAAAGGAAACCAAGAAGGCATGGCAAACTGCTTTTCCCGTGGTGGTCATTTGGGAGAAGGTGGTTTAAAATTTTGTGATTTAAGATTGTTCAAAACAGAGAATCTCATCCCGCACAAGATGAAGGAGGAAGAATATCCAGGTCAATGGACTTGGTAACTTCCGCTCCACCTGCCTGTGCACAGTGAGTACAGAGTTCCTTAGGCTTGTTGGTTTAGAGGCAATAGAGATGAGACTTGTGGCTTCGTCCAGCCTTCTCCCCCCGCACCAAAAAACCACACACCTTTTATTGTCTCTTTTGTATTTGTAGTCCCTGTCTCATGGTGGGACCCCACCCCCCAGAATGTACAGGGCTCACTTCATGGTATGCCTTAGACCCAGTCACATCTCTTTCTTCAGAAAAGACCATTCAGGGCTGGGTGCAGTGGCTCACATCTGTAATCCTACCTAGCACTTTGGGAGGTTGAAGCAGGTGCATCACCTGAGGTCAGGAGTTCAAGACCAGCCCAGGCAACATGGCGAAACCCTGTCCTTACTAAAAATACAAAAAATTAGCCGGACTTGGTGGTGTGCACCTGTAATCCCAGCTACACAAGAGGCTGAGGCATGAGAATTGCTTCAACCTGGGAGAAGGCAGAGGTTGCAGTGAGCCAAGACAAGATCGTGCCACTAGACACCAGCCTGGGCAACAGAGCAAAACTCTATCTCAAAACAACAGCGACAAAAAACCCATTCAGACCTCCACCCCTCAACTGCTGGTGTTTCTCAAAGACCTATGGTGTTTTGCTGATTTGGGGCCATTGCCTCAGTGGATTTCTGTTACCATCCATAACTAGAGTTTACTGGTGTTTCCTTTCTTTCTTTGCGGTTGTCTAGGCCTTTGTGAGTAGCAGTGGCCTGTTGAGTGCCTAAGAGAATCAGCACACTACCTGACCCCCTGTTTGGGAGTATGTGGCAGAGGCTGTTTATTTCAGGCTTTGGCAGTGATAACCCAGTGGCCCTGTGTGTTCTGGGCAGTGGCAGAAAGGTAGCCCTCTAATTCCAGGTCACATCCCCATTCTGCATTTAGTGACAACCTTCCTTTCACATATCCGTCTTAGAAGTCTTGTGTTCTCAGCCAGGCTTGGTGGCTCACGCCTGTAATCCCAGTACTTTGGGAGGCTGAGGCGGGTGGATTACCTGAGGTCAGGTGTTCAAGACCAGCCTAGCCAACATGGTGAAACCTGTCTCTACCGAAAATACAAAAATTAGCCCGGTGTGGTGGCACACACCTGTAGTCCCAGCTACTCAGGAGGCTGAGGCAGGAGAATTGCTTGAACCCGGGAGGCGGAGGTTGCAGTGAGCTGAGATCATGCCACTGCACTCCAGCTTGGGTGACAGAGTGAGACTCCGTCTCAAAAAAAAAAAAAAAAAAGAAGTCATGTGTTCTCAGCTGAAAATGCCTACATATCTTCTCCCACTTGCAACTTTGCTGTCTGTGATCCTTAAATAGCTCCATTGTGTGTAGTACACAGAAATTAGTGAAGGAAACTGTCCTGCCTTTTCCCTCCACTTCTCTGGAAAAATGTGGCCCCACCTGAGATATGAACTGAGTCCTCTGGGCACAACTAAACTCACCAGGCCATATTCTTCTCCAAACAGGAATTATAGCAGCTTTTGTCCATATGTATCCCACCCCTATGTTATACTTTGTAGGTCTTGGGGTAAATTTTTTTCTGGTGGCATCAGAAAAAATCAAGAAGCTTCCTTGTAGAAGGGCCAGCCAGAATTTGAATGCAGACTCTAGTACTTAGAATCCAGGTGACCTCAGTCCATTACTAAATTTTTCAGAGCCTCAGTTTTTTCTGAACAAATCAAGTTTTATACCACCTTCTTCCTAGGGTGGAAGAATTTAATAGGATAACACTTTTAAAGTACCAGTGCAGTGCCTGGTGATAAATGTTAATTCTCTTCCTTACTTGTATCCTTTTGGCAACAGAGATCATTAAATTTGTTTTAAATTTGATTGTGTGTTTCTTGAGGCCCTGCTGTGTATGCCTGGGACTGTACTTGGCATTAGGAGTTACCATTAGCTGGTAGGATTGGAAATGAAACCACAATTTTGGCCTTTGTACCCAAGAGTCCAACCCTGTTTTAAACTCTAAGCCAGACTCCTAAGTCAGTTATCACCTGCTCATCAGCTTTCCTTCTGAGCTGCCGTAAACAGCCATCTGGGCCTTTCCTGAGAGGACCAGTCATCTCCTCTGGGAGATGAGGAATTCTGAGAGGGGAGAGCAAACACATATTTTAGCTCAGGTAGGTGATATGGTGAAGGAGATGAGAACAAGAAGTGACAATGGCTGATGAGGAAAAAATAAGCATTCTCTGCTTTTTCTTAAGCCTTTAACTGCCACTGTCAAGGGAAACAGTAACACTTGCTAATACACGTGGAATAGCCTGGCTCCCTACCTCCATTGTCATCCCACCATCTGGAGGTGGAGGTAGGAGACAGCTGTGGGCTCTGCTCTATAGGTCACTGTACTGACCTATAGCAGTGGTAGTGGCTTTGGGCACTGAGTGGGCTAGCCCTGTACCTGGAGCAGCAGGATAAAGGAGAATGGTCCTCTGGCCTGCCCCTCCTTGTAGCAGTGGTAACAGTGGGAGGGGGAGGGGTTCCCAGCCCCAGCTGGCAGCCTGTTTCCCTGGGTCCCTGAGCTGCAAGAACAAGAGGAGGTGAAAGGGTAACAGGCCATATGGAGTCCATTTGTCAGCCAAGAGCAGCCTGGGCTGTATTGTCGAGAACGGGAAGTGAAAAAGGAGCCGGCTTATTACTGAACTGGAACAAGGAGAGAGCAAACAACACCCCCCAAAGTGCTTATCCTGCTCTGTTTTCTGCCTGCCCCCTCTCCAAATATCCAGAAATTTCTGAAATAATCCTTTTTCTTTTTACCAAAGCCTTTGCCCATTCCAAAAATCAGAGATAAGGGTTTAGTTTGCTACATGAAAATTTATCAGTGCCTAGTAATGTGCCAGGCATGATACAAGACCCTTTCAAGTATGCAGTTTTGTTAGTCTTCTAAAAAAACCTGTGGAGCTGGATATTGGCTGCTAAGGACTAAGGCTCAGAGGAGTTATGACAGTTGACAAGGCTGCAGAGCAGGCCCCTGGGTCAAACCCAGATTCATCTGTCTGACCCCCAAGACTATGCTCTTACTCCATGTGGCTCTGGTCCTGTTAGGTAGGCAGTGTATTTTCACAGTTAGGTACCAATTTGGAGAATACAAATTGTACCCTGGAGAGGGATGCTCTTTGCCGTTGTCTGTTATTGACTCATCTCAAATCAAAAATCATTGTGGCTCATTGCAGTTGAAAACAAGACAGTGTTTTGAAATAAGGACAAAATTTTGCAAGTCACGTTGGTTTTCTACTAAGCATCTACTATCTCCTGGATTATTTGTCAGGTACTAGGGATACAAAAATGAGCAGAACAAGTCTCTGCCCTATGGCTTAGATGTGTGGGTTGGTGGTTATTGGGGAAATGGAGGAAGGACCAACCTGTGAGAAAACCTGCAGAGACTACAACATGGTGATAGGTTACAAATAGGAGTGAAGATGATGTAATGGGAACCCAGAGGAGGAATAATAAAGCTGCTGTTATTGAACACTTAGTATGTGACAGACCCATTACCAGGTACTTTACCTGCATAGTTGTGATTAACCTTTTGAATCCCCATGTTAAAAATGAGGAAACTGAGGAATAGGAAGATCTCCCCAGGACTACCCAGTGGGTAACTGTTGGAGCAGTGTGCAACCCCAGGCCGTGAAGTCTCAGCCCAAGCTGGTAAGCTCCACCCTGTGCTGCTCATTGTTTCTCTCTGGCCATGCCTGGGAAGGTGGCCTTGGAACCTTGGAGATGGGTGGGGTTCCAGCTGACTGCATGTGCTTTCAGTTCAGGGTTTCTAGGCTGGGAGAGAAACAGTACTTTTGACTGAATGACTAAGGACTTTAGAGGCTTAGGTGCCACTAAAAGCACTTTCTTTTATTGAACGCTGTGCCTCAAACATGAAAACTCCAGGTGACAGGAGTTTTTATGTTTGAGGCAGGGTGCAGTAAAAGAAAGTGCTTGTTGGCTCTGAGGCCTCTGGCTGGCATTTTCCCTCTCCTGTGAGGGGGAGGAAGTGAGGGGCCCAGGCCTAAAACAAGATGGACAGGTCCGAGGCCTGTCCCACCTGTCAGTTGCTGATCTTCCGAGGAGGGCTTAGGTTGAGCCTCTCTTAGGAAGGCAGTGGTGGGGGCCCGAGAAGAGCCACAGGAGGTATCCTGAGCCATGGGTGGTTTCTCCCTGTGTTCTCCCACCCCAGCTCTGGTGCCACACCCTGAAAAAGGCTTGAGCTACTGCAGGCTGGCTCTCCCCCAGTGAGTGGGAAGTTCTCATGAGAAAAGGGATCCTGACTGGACAATAGGCTTCCTGTCTGACTGCTAGGAAGATTTGTCTCATAGGAGAGGAAGGTTGCAAATGGCATGAGAAACCATCTCACTTCCCTCTCACTGCAGCCTGTTTTAGACTTGACTATTTGGCGGGATCGGGAAGCCAGAAGGCTGGGCAGAGCCATGGACCAGAGCAGCCCCAGGTATCTCTTAAGTAGTGGGACTCCTGCCTGTTTTCCGGCTCTCACCACAAGTCCACAGCAGGAATCTGTCCCAATGCAGGAATTTCTGCATGGACAGGATGATCTCTAGCCCCTCACACCTTGTGCTGTATCCAAAACCACAATGGTTGCAGGACTTTTGCGAAGGAACCTTGGAGAGGTAGTGAGGCCCGCCAACTTTAGACAAATTTGCAAATGTCAGAAGAGATCTCAGAGGTGATCTGGTTCATTGCCTTCATGTATTGAAACTGAGGCCCAGAGTCTACGGGCAGTACCCAGTTTGTCCTTGTCACTGGACTCTGCCATCTGTGGCTCCCTTGACAGATTATGGGTGTGAGAGAAGCCTGACTCCGAGACCCTCTGATACTGCCCAGTGCTGTGGAATGGGAATACAGCCTTCTGGGGTTCAAATCCTAACTGTGCCACCCACCTGCTGGGTGAAATTGAGCAAGTATCTCAACCCCTGGCTCATCTGTGTAATGCATTGTTATGTTTCTAGAGGGTTTTTTGTGAAACTTAAATGAGTTACATATGTAAAGTGCTCAGATAGTGCCTGGCCTGTAGTCAGTGAACACAAGCTGTTGTTATTAGGAGGCTTCAGAAGAAACCTTTTGACCATATCAGATGTCATCACTTGTTTTTTCTTCTTTGTATTTGTCTGGAATGCTCTAATTCCAACTTGCCTGGGAGGCTTTCTTTAGGGGAATCACCTCCCCTTTGAAAAAGGCTGTTCATACTGGGTATAACTCTTTCTTTTATATGCTGTACGAAGTAGCTGGATGTCTCCAAAGCCATAGGCTGAGCACATCAAATGGGGAAATGAGCCACAAAACAGAACCTGGCAGGTTTCCTGATGCCCTGCCCCCCTCAGCAGGCCCCGGCTTAACTGAGTGGTCAGGCTTGCAGCTTAGAAGCCAGAGTTCCTGGTGAATCCAGCCCTGCCAATTACAAATGTGTGGCTTGAGGCAGATCACTCAACTCAGTTAAGCCTTATTGTCCTTATCTGTAAAGTGGAGAAAATATAGTACCTGCTTCATGTAGAGAGAGAACCCAGAAGAGTACTTGGCACAGGTAATAAACTATCTGTTTGCAATAATTACTGTTTTCCTTATTCCAAAACAAACAGAACTATACATTTAAACACCTTTGTTCTCTGTATTGACCTTGCTTTTTCTCTGGATCTCTTTGCTTCTACAAACCATTGAAGGCTAGAAGTAGAAATATAACCTTTATATATAAGAAAGGGTTTTGAGAGCAAGCACATAAATAGTGCTTTTCTAAATAACTTTAAGAGACCCTTAGTGCTAAATGCCTCCTTCTTTCCACATCTTCAGCCTCACATTTCATGCCCTGTCGTGTGGTTCTGAACCTTTTCCACTGTTTTCAGATCCCCAGACCTGTCCTGACTGCTGGCCAAGGACTCCTTCACTGAGACTGTGCTGTCCACTACAATAGCCACTACTAGGTGGCTGCATGTGGTGACTGAGAACTTGAAATGTGTTTAGTCTGAGTTGAGGTGTGCTATAAGTGTAACCGGAAAGGGGTCCAGATTCAGACCCCAGGAGAGGGTCCTTGGATCTTCCACAAGAAAGAATTCAGGGCGAGTCCACAGAGTAAAGTGAAAGCAAGTTTATGAAGAGAGTAAAGGAATAAAAGAATGGCTGCTGTATAGACAGTATAGACAGAGCAGTGTGGCATGGGCTACTCGGCTGAGTGTATTTATAGTTATTTCTTGATTATATGCTAAACAAGAGGTGGATTATTCATTAGATTTCCAGGAAAGGGGTGGGAATTCCTGGAACTGAGGGTTCCTCCCCTTTTCAGACCATATAGGGTGACTTCCTATGTAGCCGTGGCATTTGTGAACTGTCATGGCTATGGTGGGGGAGTGTCTTTTAGCATGCTACTGCATTATAATTAGCATATAATGAGCAGTGAGGACACCGGAGGTCACTTTCGTCACCATCTTGGTTTTGGTGGGTTTTGGTCGACTTCTCTGCCCAACCTGTTTTATTGGTGTGGTCTTTTGTGACATGTATCTTGTGACCTCCTATCTCATCCTATGATTTAGAATGCCATGCCTAACCTCCTGGGAATGCAGCCCAGTAGATCTCAGCCTCATTTTACTCAGCCCCTATTCAAGATGGAGTCGCTGTCATTCAGATGCCTCTTATATAAGTGTACAGACTACTATGAGAAAAAGAATATAAAGTATCTCATTAGTGAATTTTTATGTTGACTCCATGTTGAGATGTAATCAGTCAACATATTTTTTCATATGTTGGGTTAAATAAAATATTAAGATTAATTTCACCTGTTTCCATTTATCTTCCTAATTGGCTACTAGAACATTTTAAATTACATCTGTGGCCATGTTATATTTCTGTTGGACAGCTTTGTGCTAGGTTTGTGATTTCCATCCATTCCTTCCTCCTCTCCTTAGTTTCTACTCTTTTTCTTCTTTGCCTCAGGCTCTTACCCTCCCTGGGTGCCGATGAATGATCACCTAGCCAGAAGGACACCCCAGGCTATTAGAAAAGCTCATATTTGAGCAGCTTGTGTCACATTTAACACTTACTTCATTGGTTTAGGGTAGAGTTGGCTGTGACCATGTCTGTCTTCTCTAGGTTGTAGGCTTGTAGTGGGGGCATGGTTCTGTTACCGGAAAGAGGTCCAGATCCAGACCCCAACAGAGGATTCTTGGATCTCACACAAGAAATAATTTAGGGAAGTCCATAGAGTAAAGTGATAGCAAGTTGATTAGGAAAGTAAAGGGGCTGGATGCGCTGGCTCACGCCTGTAATCCCAACACTTTGGGAGGCCGAGGCGGGCAGATCACTTGAGGTCAGGAGTTCGAGACCAGCCTGGTCAACATGGTGAAACCCTGTCTCTACTAAAAATACAAAAGTTAGCCGGGTGTGGTGGCACACGCCTGTAGTCCCAGCTACTCAGGAGGCTGAGGCAGGAGAATCGCTTGAACCCATGAGGCAGAGGTTGCAGTGAGCTGAGATTGCCACTGCACTCCAGCCTGGGTGACAGGGGACAGGGCGAGACTCATCACAAACAAACAAACAAAAAATGCACTATAGATAATTTAAATGTAACCTTCTCCTACTCAACCCTAATCCCTTTGAGGCTGCATGCATGTCACACTGATCTTTATATTCCCTGCTTTCCACACCTTGTTTTGAAGGAGCTCAAGTATTTGTTCTGTTTGTTAAATTGAATGCTTTGACCCCTGGGGCCTTTCCTGGAGCTTATTTTGCTTTGCTTGTTTTGGAATGTTGTAAAAGTTTGTTTTGTTTTAATTTGCCTCCTTCTGAAAGGTTGGCCTGCAAAACCAACAAAACCAGGGAACCTTTAGAAAGGCTGGTGAGGGTCCTCAGCAGTTAGTTTCTGCTGAGGGTGTCAGGCTGAGGCGACGGAGGTGGTGGAAGTATCAGCTAGATCATTTTGCGTCTCATCTGCATTGTTACCAGGGTGGACTTTGACTGAATGCCTACTGTGTGCACTCCCTGTGCTCACTGAAAGCCTATGTGGCTGTGGGACAGAATGGAAAGCAGAGAGGAAGCTAAAGATAATTCATTGATTTTTTTTCCCCCTGTAAAATTGTCTGGCTTTCTCCTTTTCTTTTTAAAATTATGTGGCACTGCCACATCAGGTGAGTTCATTGTCTTCCCAGAGTTAAGTACAGAGCTTCCTTCTGCGAACCTGGAATTGTCAGAGAATGATCCTGGTGCACAGATCAAGACAGTTTCTTGCCTAGACTGTGGCTTCTGGAAGCCACTGAACAATTTCTTTGCCATGTGGGTTTTGCCTTTTTTTAGTGTTCTTCCCAGGCATCACTGAGAGGGTCCTCTTCAACACCTGCTGTTGGCCAGGACTCTGCTCTTGGTCAAGAGGATCATATTTTTTCATGTGTTCTTTTTCTTTTCTTTTCTTTTCTTTTTTTAAACAGAGTCTCACTTTGTCGCCCAGGCTGGAGTGCAGTGGTGCAATCTCAGCTCACTGCAACCTCTGCCTCATGGGTTCAAGCAATTCTTGTGCCTCAGCCTCCTGAGTAGCTGGGTCTAGAGGTGTGCATCACCACACCTGGCTAATTTTTGTATTTGTAGTAGAGATGGGGATTCACCGTGTTGACCACGCTGGTCTCGAACTCCTGACCTCAAGTGATCCGCCCACCTTGACCTCCCAAAGCGCTGGGATTGTAGGCGTGAGCCACTGTACCCAGCCTTTTCACATGTTCTTAGTGTCTTAAAATGACTTGCCTTTTTTTTTTTTTTGGACCCTTTCTTCTTAGGCATCCTTATTTCTTCTTTGAACCTGGAGCATCTTATGACATACTTCAGCTTTTTTCTTTTCTATGACCTTCATAGATGGGCATAAAATAATTTTTGTACTGAGTTTATTTTGCCATACTGAAGCGGTGTTGTTGTCTGGGGTAATATCTGAGGTTCATTGTCCCACAGCCATGGAAAATTAGGATGCAGACACACCAGAGTGAGGTTAAGAGTGGAAGTTTAATAGGCGAAAGAGAAGAGCTCTCTGCACAGAGAGGGGTCCCAGAGAAAATGGGTTGCACTTCTGCAGTTAAATGAAGAAGGTTTTATAGATGAGCTTGAGGAGACCATTTACATAGGGGACGAAAGATTGGTTGGACCATGTGTGCCATTTGCATAGTTGTGAAATAGCTGGCCGTCCCACCCTAATCTTTTATTATGCAGATGGGTTCTCTACCTGGTGGGCACCATGTTGCCTGGTCCTTACTGTACACGTGGTGACAAAGAAAAGGGAACATGGAGCCTCCACTCTGAACACACCTGGCTTCCAGGTGGCCCTTTTCTATTGGCACAGCTGCTGGCATTCACCTGTGCAAGCTTCCAGCTTGCTTATCTATGCAGCTCGATTTTTCAGGCTGCTCTTTGTTAGAAAAGAAATGATTTTGAGGCTGCTTTTCCTTAAAAGGGAAACCTTGCTGAGGACTCTTTTGCCGTCACTATCTGCCTAAATAATTTCTTTCTAGCTCCTGTATCAATACTAGGATTGCTATAATGTTGACATAATCTAAGGGGTCTCTCCTACCTCTAGTCCATCTTATATCAAATTATAAATTTGCTTTTCTTATAATGCTACCCTTCTCAAGAACCTTCAGCGGCTCCCCCTTTTCTTTGACTATAATTATAAATATCTCCTTTTGTAAGGAAGGTCCTCTACAAGATGGTTTCATCACTCTTCATGTTATTTTTTTGGACTTTTAAAAAATTACTCAACCCAGCCAAACTGGGCTGCTTGCTGTTCTCAGAAGTTAACCTACATTTTCCCACTTCAGTGCATTTACTTCAAACTATGACCTCCCTTCCTGATGAAGTGAAGCCCCATCTGAAGTGCTACTTCCTCGGAGATCCTTTCCTAGGCTCCCCTATTCCTGCTTTGAACTTCCTCTCTTGTGGCACAAATCACATTATTTGACATGTGTTAGAATAAATTTGTATATAGAGTATCTTTGGAAGAATATGGTAGAAACTGGTGCAGTGACTCTGGAAAGAGGAACCCAGTGACGGGACACTGTGCACCCTTTTTGAATTTAATACCTTGTATATTTCCCATGAGTCTGTTTTTTTTGTTTTGTTTTGTTTTGTAAAAGTATTTTAGATAACAAAAACCTAATCCCTAAAGCATTACAAGAAAATACTGGAGAGTATGTTTATAAACTCAGAGTAGAGAAAGAGTCCTTAATCCAGAAGCCATAAAGAGAATGATTTTTTAAATATATGTGTGCACTTAATGGTCATATCCCTATTTGGCAAGAAGGACCTGAGGTGCTTATATTTTTGTCCTTTTTCAGAGCATAGCACAGTGACCCCCTACTCAGAATCAGTAAGTATTAGTTGAATTGAAATTAAACTGAATTACAAGTCACTTCTTTGCAGTCCTCACTTTTTTTTTTTTTTGACTTATTATGAGTGCTAGGTGACCGCCAGGATCCCGCTCAAAGATTCTGTGGAGATGTGGGTTTTATGGAAAGAGATACCCAGCAAAGCAGGAGTGGCTTTAGAATCAGCAGCTCTTCCCCTGAGACTGTCCTTCCCAGCACATTGGACTTGTGTGTGGGTCCTGCCTGCTTTCAGGAGCTGCCATGGGGTGCTCAGCATTAATTATGCCACGGAAATGAACCAATTAGACACAGTCCAAGGAGAGCCAGGGAGTAAGTCAGGGAGATCTGTGGCAGGCCTGCTGCCCTGAACAAAAGAGGGAAAGTGTAAAGGCTAAAGCAGTTTGCGGAGGTTTCTTTGGAAATCTAGCTGGCCAGCGCTCTGAACTACTTGGCCAAAGTTAAAGAGCACCAGAAGGAGTGTTTGCGTTTTTCTTTCTCCTGTTCAAGACTCTGGTGGTGGAGGAGAATAGGGACAAGTTGGGTCCTTAGAGGGGACTTGGGGGGAGCTTACTGGAGCTCATCTCCTAGTTTCAGAGAAGCTGCCAGACTTCTCTGGATCCCTGTGGCACCTACCCAGCTTTGTTTTGTTAATAGCTTTTTAAAAATGGCATCTTTTTTTTAGTGGCATCACCTAAAAAAAGAAAAGAAAAAGTGCCTTTTCTCCCCATCTCAAGTGATAAGCAAATTGAGGGTAGGGAGCCATCATCTCTTTTCCATTTGGTGTCCACTCCCCAACCTGGCTGGCAGTCAGCTTGCTTAACAGCCATTTGTAGATTGGAAAGAAGAGGCATGGGTGAGAGAGGCTGTGAGGGCACAGCTGCAGGGTGGTGTGGTCTGCCCCTCTCGTGGATGAGAAACTGCCTTATCTTGGACAGTCAGGCACTGTGGTGTGACTCTCAGTCACTCCAGGCCTGTCAGAGGAAATGAGAAAAAGAAAACGACCGTTCTTATTCTCATACAGATGTCCTTGTGATATTCAGGATGGGGGCAGGTTATTTGTCAGCAAAATTGAATTTCCTTTGGAAAACTTTTGGTCTTTATTGCATTCATGGTTGCCTGGCCATTCTACCTCAGCCCAACATTCCAAACAGTGATTCTGTAGTGCCCCCACTTTTACTGTTTTGGCTGGTAATACCCGGCAGTCCACCACCTGGGGTCTTCAGTTTTGCAGTGTCAGTCCAGAGTGGAATCAGAGGTTGTCCTTTTCCTCCTCAGGTCCACTCAGACCTTCCAGATCCTCTGACTTACCATTACTGCAACTTACCAGGGTTCCCACCATACCTAGGCACTGCCTGCCATCTCCCTAACTGACCAGTTTCAAGAGGGCAAAGGGGAGGTAACCTTGACACCCATACCCCTTAAAGGCCATGCAGCTCATGGGGTAGAAGCAATGTCTGCTGGTGGAAAGAGCAGAGGTTTAGAATCAGAAGATTTGACTGTGACCCCAAGCCTGCCATTTACCTTGCTGTAAGCTTGGCTAAAAGTCACTTAACTTTTGTGGCCCTCAGTGTCTTCTTCTTCAAAGGAGAGTAACGATAGCTGTCTCACAGAGTTGTCAGGACAAATAAGGCGGGAGGTGAAGGTGCTTTTGAAACTAGGCAGTCCTGTATATCAGTGGAAAATGTGGAATTTATCATGGGATAGAGACAGGTGGTGCCATTGACTACTATAGTCAGAGAATGGAAGATGCACAGGGGGTTTGGGAAGCCTCCCAGGGAATCTATCAGAAATCCCCTCTCAGGCCAAGAGTGCACGTTTTTATTATACAATAGAGTCTTTTCTGACATTGATAGTGGAAACAAGGCCAACATTTTTCCTCCTTTCACTGTGATTTATTATGTGTGTTACAGGCTTTATTACATAATACAGGCTTTATTAAAACTATTATGTCTAGATCTCTATAGGTTCAAGACTTTAGAGTCTGCCGTTCATTTATGGATGGAATTCTCTTAAGGCATGGTGGGGAGGGAGGGGGAAATGTTGCAAGCAGCCACTTCCCCTGTTGCCAGTATACTTCCCCTCTGTCAGTGGCAACCTGAGTTTCCAGGGTTTGGTTAACAGTTCCTCCAAGGAAAGGGTTATTTCCTCCTCCTGTGTTTCCTGTAGAGGCCTTCAGAGCTGCGTCACTGAGAGCAGACTCCTACTGGATACCTCACCACTGTACCCCTGCTCTCTCCCTGTCTTTGCAGTGTGCCCCCTACCACCGGAGCCAGAGAATGGTGGCTACATCTGCCACCCCCGGCCCTGCAGAGACCCCCTGACAGCAGGCAGTGTCATCGAATACCTGTGTGCTGAAGGCTACATGTTGAAGGGCGATTACAAATACCTGACGTGTAAGAATGGCGAGTGGAAACCAGCCATGGAGATTAGCTGCCGTCTCAACGAGGGTCAGTCTGGCAGATGAAAAAGGGATGCTGCTGGGGTTCTGCTTTCTGTTAACTCACAGGATGCAAAGCATGCTTCCTCCAGAGCACTCTTTGCTGTGGTGCAGCCCAGCCCCAGTTGATGCTCTGCAGCCTCCCTTCCTTGGGTCTTCATGTCTTTGTGGAAGATACTTGAGGTTGCTGGTGCATGTCCTATTGCATTTCATTGAGCCATCTGCCCTGCTCTGTAAAGCCCGTTTGATGTTCAGGATCTCTTGTTTGCATGGCCAAGTGTTGGTGACCCTTGACCATGTTCTGCCCTCACAGTGAGCACAATGCTAATACCTTCTCTAATGTATCGTCCATTTCATTTTTCCTTGAATGGAGCTACAGACCAGCTGGACAAAAGACCTCCCACCCTTACTGCTTCCTCCTGTCTTGCATGACAGGAAAATCCACCTGCTTGCAGGAAAGTGTGTCATATAACCATCTTTGTGCTTCCCACTCAGGCTTCAAGACCAGAGCATGTTTAACCCATGACACCCCAGAAATGGGTGGGAACCAACCTGAGAGTTACAATTAAAGCTGTGGATCTTAAGACAAGGTTTTATTACAGTCCAGTTTCTGTAAATTAATCCTGCCACTTGGGAAGAACATAGGTAGAACTTAAGATGGTGGAATGACATGCCCAGTTAAATTGTCGATGTTTACAAACTTCAAGCTTTTGAGGATGGGATCAAAGTGGTTTATAAAGGTAAAATCTCTAGGGTTAAGTGAGTTTATGTGTCAGATGGACCTCAAAGATTGGAAGTGAGGGGAATTTTTTATTCAGGAAACAGGATAGGGAAATGGTCCTTTTCCAAAAGAACTGTGTATACATAGGTCATTCTAAGCTGTTATTCCTGAAATGACCCTGACCGTAGGATGTCTGTATTGCACCATTCAGGAGGCATTTGACAAGATCAGCTGTGGGGCCCATCAGCTGTTTTGTGTATTTGGGTACAAAACCCTTCTGATGATGGCTTGTTTTTATAGATAAAGACACCCACACATCACTTGGGGTCCCCACGCTGTCTATAGTGGCTTCTACTGCCAGCTCCGTGGCGCTCATTCTCCTCCTCGTGGTGCTGTTTGTGCTGCTGCAGCCAAAGCTGAAGTCTTTCCATCATAGCAGGTGAGTCCAGTGGCAGAGCTGACATGAGACAGGCAGGTGCAAGCATTACTGTGGGGGCCAGTCTTTGGTGGAGGGTTGCTGGTGGCCCCAATCTCTGTGGGTCTGTGTGTGTCCAGGGAGTGGGGAGGGCCCTGCCATGTGTCAAACTCCTAGATGTGCCTACCATTGTGCTTATTGCTTTGCATACATTATCTTAATCCTCATAGGAACATTGCAGATGAGGAAATTGAGGCTCAGAGAGGTTATTCACTCAGGGTTATACCTCTAGATGACAACAGAGCTCAGAACTGAGGCTGCGCGCGGTGGCTCATGCCTGTAATCTCAGCACTTAGGGAGGCTGAGGTGGGCGGATTGCCTGAGGTCAGGAGTTTGAGACCAGCTTGACCAACATGGTGAAACCCTGTCTCTACTAAAAATACAAAACAATTAGCCGGGTGTGGTGGCGCGCGCCTGTAGTCCCAGCTACTCTGGAGGCTGAGGCAGGAGAATCACTTGAACCCACGAGGCAGAGGTTGCAGTGAGCCGAGATCACACCACTGCGCTCCAGTCTGGGAGACAGAGTAAGACTCTGTCCCATTAAAAAAAAAAAACAAAAAAAAACGGAAATCTGTTCAATTCCAAAGCCATGTCATTTCCCCTACACCAGTCGTTCTCAAAGCGTGGTTCCAGCAGCGTCAGGATCATGGAACTTGTTAGGATCAACCAAATGAGAAGCTCTAGGGGTGAGGCCCAGTGATATTGTTTAACAAGCTGTCCAGGTGATTTTGATGAACACTTAAGTTTGTGAGCCACTATCCTGCACTCCTGGTTCCCAGTCCCGGCTGCAATATAGAGGCACCTGGGGGAGTTTAAAAACAAATATCAACACTTGGGCCTCCATTCCCATTCTGATTTATTTGGTTTGGAATGGAACCCTGGCATTCACTTTTTATAAAAAGCTCAGTTTTTCTGTGCAACTAGGATTTAGAACCACTGCACCACACTAAGGAGAAACAAAGGAAGTGGATTTTCTTGCCTGCCTTTATCAGTTTCCTTTTCCAGTCTACTGCTTTAGCCACAAGTTGTCTAGGGGCGAGGAGCATGAAGGGCAGAGCTGATGGTGCTGGCCCTGAGTGGATTCCCGATGATGGACTTTTCTTCCAGGCCATTGTGGCTTCTGCAGTTACTTGGCCCTTCCTGGCAGTTCCTCATTCCCTCTTGAGGAGTAACATTTTTTATATATCTTCACAGTCCTTCATCAGTCACTGTTATAACTCACAAACATAAAGGGCCAAAGTAAACTGCATTCAGTAAAATGTTCCAAATTTGGATTTACAGACAAGGACCAGGCTAGATTTAATCTCTGTGTACTATGTGTGATTTTCTTTCTTTTATTTTGTTTTTGGGAAGAGGCTAGCAGTTATTTTTAAAGGCTATTAATTAATAGGATGAAGAGGATTTGAAGGGGATTGTTTACTTGAAATGATCAGCTATTTCCACCTAAAGTCAAACTGATCAGTTCTGCATCTCATCTAAATGAGGGAGTTTTCCCCCCTATAGTTAACTTGTAAGTTTGTTAAAAGTAACTGGCTAGTTTTGCTTGATTTGAGTAGAGGGGAGATTTGGTTTTCATTGTAGACCCCATTTAAATTTTGTGCTGTGTACATATATTACTTTTTAAGCCAAACACTATTTTGAGTAACAAAAGTCAAGCACATGCCAGTTTACACACTGCTTTCTTTTTTTTCTTTTTCTGAGACAGGGTCTCACTCATGTTGCCCAGGCTGGAGTGCAGTGGCGTGATCACAGCCTACTGCAGCCATGACTTCCCTGGGCTCAGGTGATCCTCCCACCTCAGCCTCCCTAGTAGCTGCAACCACAGGCATGTGCCACCATACCCAGCTAATTTTTTTGTATTTTTTATAGATATGGGTTTCGCCACATTGCCAGGCTGGTCTTGAATCCTGGTCTCAAGCAGTCTGCCCACCTCAGCCTCCTAAAGTGCTCCCATCAAACTTTCCCTTCCTTCCAAAAACCTCTGCCACTTCTCTCCTCTCAGAGTGTATGTAGCACAGATTTTACTGCCAAGAGCAGGTGAGGAAATTGAGAACTACTAACAACAATCTAGCAACAATAATATGGTCTAGCAGCAGACCATCTATATTTCTTGAATTGATGAGCTGAAAGGACACAGCATCACCTAGGATTGGCCTGAATCCAATGCTGAGGAAACTATTAGACAAGTCCAGATTGTGGGACATTCTTTGAGACAGCTGGCCTGGACTCTTTAAAAAAAAAAAAAAGCCAATGTCATGAAAGAAAAACTATAGTGGACTGTTTAACAGATTAAATGAGATGAAAGACACAGGACAATTAAATGCAATACATGATACTTAATTGGGTCCTGGATGAAAACAAAGAAGACTGCAGCTGAAGTAGATATATTTTTGGATAGTTAGGAAAATTTGTGTTATTGTATTACACCAATGTTAAATTTCTGGGATCTGATGATGTAGTTGTATCAGAAAGGATACTCTTAGGAAGTATATGTTAAATAACATCTTCACCTTACTTTTAGATGGTTCAGGGAAAAAAAAGGCATGTTTATGTGTATAACAAAAGTGATCCCCAAAAAAGATATCCGCATGAATAAGCCTCACACGTATGATGTTGAGTAAAAGAAGCCAGAAACAGATATATACTCTCACAAATTTACTTTGTTATCCCATTCAAGTAAAGATTAAAAATATGCAAAACTGTCCAGGCACAGTGGCTCACGCCTGTAATCCTTTGGGAGGAGGAGGTGAGAGGATTGCCTGAGCCCAGGAGTTCAAGACCAGCCTGGGCAACATGGAGAAACTCCGTCTCTACAAAAAATTGGCCAGGCGTGGTGGTGCATGCCTTAGTCCCAGCTACTTGGGAGGCTGAAGTGGGAGCATCACCTGAGCCCAGGATGTTGAGGCTGCAGTAGGTTGTGATCACGCCACTGCACTGCAGCCTGGGCAACAGAGTAAGACCCTTTCTCAAAAGAAAAACAATTTTTTTAATTAAAAAAAAATATATGCAAAACTAAACCACAGTGTTGAAGGATTCATGTTTAGGTAGTAGAACTGTTAAAATAAAAAGCAAAGAAATGATTTTCCTGAAAGTCTGGATAGTGGTTACTTTTTGTGGTGAGGCAATGGGAGTGATTTTGGGACAGGTGCAAAGGGTCTAGGTTCTGGGCAGTGTTCTTTTTCTTGACCTATATAGGAGTTTTATACCAGTGTTACTTTTGGAGTAAATCAGCTAGCTGTACACAGATTTTTCTTGTGTTCTGTTTTCTGTATTTGTGTTCAAAGTTTTTAAAAAGTTTACAAACTTTTAAAAAAAGCAGTATGGCTGAGTCAGAACAAAATTATTGTGATTTCTAGTCCAGTATCCCACACTTCCCTGTTTTTTAACAGCTTTATTGAGATATATTCCACATACCATACAGTGTACCTATTTAATGTGTACAGTGAAGTGGTTTTTAGTATATTCACAGATATATGCCACCATCATTCTCTCACTTCCTTATTTTAGCTGTGCTGAATGAATGCCTTTATTTCTGGGTCTCTAGGCTCCTAGTTTTTCCACAGGGTAAAAGGGCCAGGTGCCTGTGTACCCAGAGGTTAAGAACACAGTTTTTGGAGGCTGATGGAACCGGATTCAAATCCTAGCTCCATCCTTTACCAGCTGTGTGATTGAGGGCAAGTTAATTAACTTCTCTGAGCCTCATTTGCATTCTTGGTGAATCCCTACCTGAAAGGGCTCAGGTGAGAATCCAGCATGATAAGGTGTTTAAAATTCCTAGTGCTTTGCCTGGCACATAGTAAGTGCTCAAAAATGGTGGCGGCTGCTATTATTATTATCATGCCTGTTTCTCTGTGTGTTTATTCTAATTCATCCTTTGTCTTTTCCTCCTCCACTCCAGGCGTGACCAGGGGGTATCTGGGGACCAGGTCTCCATCATGGTGGATGGAGTCCAGGTTGCACTACCATCATACGAGGAGGCTGTATATGGCAGTTCTGGTCACTGTGTGCCACCTGCTGACCCCAGAGTACAGATTGTGCTGTCAGAAGGGTCTGGGCCCAGTGGGAGGAGCGTGCCAAGGGAGCAACAGCTGCCGGACCAAGGGGCCTGCTCCTCTGCAGGTGGAGAAGATGAGGCCCCAGGCCAGTCTGGACTATGTGAAGCCTGGGGCTCTCGGGCCTCAGAGACTGTGATGGTGCATCAGGCAACCACCTCTTCCTGGGTGGCCGGCTCAGGGAACCGCCAACTGGCACACAAAGAAACTGCAGATTCAGAGAACAGTGACATACAAAGCCTTTTATCCCTCACGTCAGAGGAGTACACAGATGGTGAGTGGTCCAAGCTGAACATGAATTATTAGCTGCTTAGGGTCCTTGCTGGGAGTGAGGAAGGACTGTGAGCCTTTCTAAATAATTGGTATATTTTTAGCAAAAAAAAGATAGTACCTGGGGTATTTGCCTACAAAATAGAATTTCACCCTCAGAGTACTGAGTAGGGCTTTGGGCTCTCTGTAGTGAGACTTTTCACTGACGCCTGTGAATTCTGATCGTTTGGAGTCTCTGAGGCCATTCATAGTCACAGAGCCTTGCTAAATCAAAAGACAGCTTGCTGGAGTTGGGGGTGGGGTCTGTCCTCTTGTTATAAATGTTATGTTCCTGAAAGGTCAGGAATGACAAGGAGGCATAGGTTATTTTACAGAAAAATGAGAGCCTCTCCAGAGCAGACAGCTGCTGCTTTCTAAACAGGAGTGTTCCGGGTACTATGCTAGTTTGTTTTCTTGCACTATCTCAGTTAAACATCACAGTGATCCTAAGACACAGGTATTTATTGACATCCCCATTTTACAGCTGAGGAAACTAAGGCTCACAGAAGGTAAGTCACTTGGCCCACTGGTAAATGGCTGAGCTGGGATTTGAAGCCAGATTCTGCCTTCCAGGTGGCTCTAGCGCCCTTGTGGCAAACAATCATAGAATGAAATTACTGCCTCCTGATGTTTCTGCCTTTGCCAGAGGCCAGTTTACCCTGGGCTTGAGTCTGTCACTTTGAAAGCTGTCTTTAAGGTAAATCCCAATGTAGTTCAGGATGAGACTAACCCTAGATGCCCCTTTCTATAGTGAAGACTTGTACACTCAGAAAGCCTCCCTAAAAGAGCCTTAGAGGAAACTTTATGCTTCCTGGGTATCCTGGGCATAGTAAATGTCTAAGGTTTAGAATATCTGAAAGCAAAGAAGTTGGAAATTACTGAAAGCAGATCATGTTTATGGAGCTTCCTGGTTATCAACATCTTGCCTTCGTTTTTCTTGGTTGGCCATTAAAATAGTTGACCCAGGTTTGAATCTGGAAGCCAGTAACCCCACAGTCAGCCAGCCACACATATTGTGAGATGTGTGTAAGTGTATATCATAGCCCTTATCTTCCCAAGGAGCCAAGGTGGGGCCCTCCTCTTCCTCCTCTTCCATGCTACCTAGCTTTGTTTTTTGTATTTAACAAGCATTTTGAGAGGCCATCTTGTGCCTAATGCTGGATTAGGTTTCAGGGGTGATACAGAGAAATATGAAATGTGCTATCTTCCTGCATGGAGTATCAGCCATTTGGGAAGATGGTGGGGCCTATACTCAAGAAATAATAGAACCAGGAATTGTAGTGTCTGTGTCAGAATGAGGGGTTCAGAAAACAAGACACATTAAGTCAGTAAGTTCCTTGCAGGCCATGCCTGAGCTGTTTGGGACTGATAATACCCTAGGAAGTTGGGAGCTTGAGGCCCACAGCATATGAAGAAGCTGAAACCAAAAGAAGGGAAGTGATTTATCCAAAGTCACACGACTGGCAGATGGCTTTAGGAGGCAGTGGGACTTCACAGGGCTTTGTAGCCTCATAGGGTGGAATTAGGAGAGAAAGGGAAGTGACTAGACCAGCAGAGCTAAGGCAGAGAGGAGGATGGTTTGAATACCAGGCTGAACATTGAGTTTTTTTCACATAGGCACTGGGAAAGATAAGCTAGAAAGTCATAAAAAAGGAGGTAGGGAGTTTTTGCCTACCTAGAAGTGTATGAGTGGGACATTTACTTTCTTTAAATTAGGGGCTATGTAGGATAGCCCCTAAGTTGCAGTGGGGTCGAGAGTGCTCTAGAGTTCCACACAAGGTAACCACTGTGCTTTTCTTCTGGTCTTCCTGCAGATATTCCACTGTTGAAAGAAGCATGAGGGCAGCGGCCAGCCTTTCCTCTCTGCGAGGTTCTCTCAGCCCTTCCTCCCTCTCCCTGTGGGATTGAGCACCCTGTACTCTCCAGCCACCTTACCTGGATACCTGAGCTGCCACCTGTGTATCTGTGTATCTCTGAGGGCCCTATAGGCCCACCTTGCTGGAAACTCAAGGAAGATTCTCGCCATCTGCCTGTTGGACAGCTGGAGGAGCTGGCTCTTTGCCTGGCCCCGCCTTCCCATCTGTCAGAGACATATTTGAATGTGCTGGATCAAACCCTCCCTTTTCCTAAGCCTCTGGGTCCCCTCCAGCCAGCTCTTTGGCGGCAGCCCCCACCAGCTCCTGTGGGCCTGAGTGCTGCTGTGTTTACTTGTGCCTTTCCCCCACCCTGTCCAGTTTCCCTGTCATGCAGACTTGTTGCTGTCCACAAGCCTTAGTGGCTGCACTGCTGCCCCCTGCCACACAGGGGGCCGGGCCTGGGTCTGTCCTGTTTCCTTTGAGGGTTGCCCCTACTGCCCTTTGCAGGAACAGATCCAGGTGTGAGAGCTCTTGAGTCAAGAGTGGCAGAAGTGGCTCTAATTGGGGTGAGAGTGTAGTCCCTGGGCTTGCCCTGGGTTGACCCTGGTGGCATATTTCCTTGGCTGAGGATGGAAGATTTGGAGAATCATGTCCATGCTGGCCCAGGACCCAGCCATCTGGCCCAAAGGCACAAGCTCCTGGCCCTGTTGAGTTGAGAGTTTCCAAGAAGCATCCAGAAGATCCCAAGGGAGAGAAGGAAAATGGCTGATAATGATTGTCTTCCTAATATGCAAGTTCTCACTTCCTACTTCCAGCATCGGCCTTCCTGGCCTTGTCTTTTTTTTGTTTCCCTGGAGTATAATGGGAAGTTGCATGCTGCCTCCTGGGTTTTATCCCAGATAGCTCTGGCTTTCTTGCTGCCCACAGGGGCCTGGGGCAGGAAGGAGACTTGCTGAGATGCCATGGAGTGCCCATCTGGTCACTGGCAGTCTGGGCAGGTTGCCCCTTTCTGGGTTTGTGGTGACGGAGGGGAGGCCGAGAGGCACAGACCAAGTCCCCGGGTGGCTGCAGGCAGCTCCAGCCCGGTCCTGAGGATCCTCCTCACCATGGTCACGTGCCTTAGTAACTGTGCCCAGGAAGTGGCCTGCTGCTTGCTGTGCTGCTGCTTTTCCTACTTCTGCCCTTCCCTGCCACCCCTCGCATGTCACAGCTGACAAGCAATTCCTTGTCTTCCCTGGCCCCCTGGGGGAAGGGCTGAGAAACAGTCCGTGTGCACCCCAACCTTAATGGCCTGAGGTGGGCAGAGGGGTGTGGAGCAGCCTGGAGTACAGGGCCCTGGGGGAGGAGCCCACTGATGAGGGGCGCTCTCCCATAGCCATGTGTTGAATGCTAACTAGGCTGGGGTGGACGAACTCTGCCAACTGCTGTCATCTTAGAAGATAGATGCAGCAGTAAGGAATGTTTGTTTTGCTTTTTTCTGAAATTTTCTGAAGCACTGTGGCTGGGAAACTTCGAAGCGGACCCTGTGCTGCATGTCTGCTCCTCCCCTGAGCCTGTCTGCTTGGGGGTGGTAAAAATAAAAATCCCAGTTTATTTTCAGTACCTTACCTAACAGGGTTGGCTCCAGGCGTGGGTGGCCTAGAAGATGAGGGGAGTGGTCTTCTCCCAGCCTTTTACCCTCTTGCCTCCTGCCTCCGCGCTTACACACGCACTTTACCACCCGGTCATTCCCTGGCCTCTTGCTGCCACTTGTAGTCTTCCTTCCTTCCTCTCAGGGTAAGGGCAGTGCCTGCTGTGCCTGTTGGCCACTCCCACACTTCCCCTCCCCCAGGAGCCCTCATCTGCTGTGCTGAGTCCAGGAAAGCATAGTTAGGTAGGGAGCTGGTTGGAGAAGGTGCTAGAACTAGAAGGCAGATGAGACTAGCATGGGCCCACCTGGAGGGCTGTCCCTAATGGCCCCAGTCGCCTTACCTCACCCACAGCAGTGCCCTTGTCTTCCTCCAAAACAGAAAGCAGTGACAAAAGGGGGAGGGGTGGTAATCTGAAGTCTCACTGCTGAGCCTTCAGCTTTTATTTTTCACTGTTTCAAAACCCGCATTCTATTCTAGAATGGTTTTTAAAATGGAAGATCTTACCTTTTTCTATCTTGTTACTCTGGGGTTTTGTCCCCCTAAGAGATTGCACTTTTTGTTTGGGGTTTATTCAGCTGCATAGATGACCAGCTTGATCCCTGGTGAAATGAAAAGCCTTCCTTCTCCTGAAGCCTCTTTCCGCCCTGCCCTCCACTAACAACACTGAGGAGCACAAGCCCAGGCTTGCCCACCTGGTAGGAAAGGAAGAAATTAGAACAATGGGAGCCTTGGCTCCCCTCTCGTCTCCTCCCCTCCTTCTTGTCACTGGCTTTGATGAGGCCCACTTCCCAGAGGCTCCTGGGCCTGTGAGTGCAGGAGCTCATTCTCCCCTCACTGCTGAAGTCTGTGACAGCTTCTTCCTCCAGTTATGTCTTTCTTCCAAAGCAATTTCTTAACCATCAGCCATGTGCTGCTATTTCTAGGGCTTCTGGGCTTTGTCCCTTACTGAGAGATTAGGGACTCCACAGCTGCCTTGAGGTAGGGCCTGGCTGAGAGACAAGGGTAGCAGCAGGTGGCAGGCTGTTAAAAGACAGGCTGCCTGAGGAGCCTGGAGCAGGTGGAAACAGGTGGAAGAAACCGGCCACAGCCCTGCTTTACCGGGCTCACCTCTAGGGCATTCCAGCAAGAGGCTGATGCAGGAGAATGGCCAGCACCAAAGGACATTTAAAAGAGTTTTTGGGTTTTTTTGTTTGTTTGTTGTTGGTGTTTGTTTTTTTTTTTTTTTTTTTGGCACACTTGAGCTGACTCAGTGCAGGTTTAATATCCTGGTGACTTGCAGTCACATTCTAATGACTTTCAAGGGCCAGAATATGGTGAAAATCACTTAAAATATCCGTCCCTTCCATGCCTTAGTTTAGCAGGTAGGCTCTATCTTTTGCCATTTCTGTATTTTATGTGCTGTGTTCCCGTTTCACTGGGTATGAACTGTGAAATCGACTGAATCCTGGCCACTTTATGAGTTTGTTTGGTTTTATAAGGCATTTCAATGTACATTCTATAAATACAAGCACTCCATTTGCAAACAGATCTTAAGCTAATATTTTCTTTCCCATTCATCTTGCCCTCCCCCTCCTCCCGCCAGCTTTAAAGTTCAGTGGAGAAGCCAGATGGCAATTCAGACAAAGGTATACTCTTCCTGCTTCATGGGTGGTGGCACGGGAATAGATAGCCCTTAGCCCTTTCCCTCCCAGTCCCAGCTGAGCCCTCAGACCACTTGCTTCCCACATAACAATGTCGCCTCCATTTCCGAGGAACATCCTTGCGTAGAGAATGAAATATGCTGCAATCATTTCTGCATCCTTACTCCTCACCCCCAAAGAAAAAAAAAAGGCCTAGCAGGGAAGCAGCATGCAGGCTTCACAGCTTAATGCCAAGGACAGCGAGTGAGGCTGGGAGCTTCTCTTGGGCCTGCTGGGTCTGTCAGCTCTCGGAATAGGGACAGTCCTTACTGGTGCCCCAAGGTGGGACTTGGAGAATATTTTGCTTGGCATATGTTTGGTCTGAATGGTGTAGTTGCTGGTTCCCTAGAGAGGAAAAGGTGGCAGGCCCAGCTTTGCTGGGAAATGGCTCTTAATTTCCAGTTGAAACCCTAGTAGAATTGTGAATGAAAACCTCAAGGTTGAGCCCCTCTGCCAAGCAGCAGAGCTAGTAGAAGGGGATGCAGGGGCAAAGCACTCAGTTGCCAAGCAAGGAGGAGAGATGTACGTGGGCTGTGTGGCAGTCCCCACACCCTGCCCTGGCTTCTTCAGGTTATCGCACCACTATGGAATCCTTTGCAGAATGGTACTCATATAATGGTTTAAAACAACACATTCATAATTGACTCTGTGCAGGATGTCACTCAATCAGTTTGGGTTTGCTTTATTTTATTTTATATATATATTTTTTGGTATCCTGTACATTGCAGTGGGTGTGAAGATAGTATTTTAATATTTGTACAAAGTTTAATTTAATTTTAATTGTTCTATGTATATAACTGCATTTCTAAATAATTAAAAAAAAGTTCTTATGAAGGCAATTCTGGGAGATGTGATCCTTCCTGAAAGTTTTTGCAGAAACCTTAGATTGAAAGAGCATATGTGGGCAGGAGGTCATGGAAGGATGAGGCACTAGCTCTGTAGGGAGGGTGCCTGGCAAGAGGTGGAGGAGCCAGGATGGAGAGCACTTTGGGAGGCCAAGGCAGTTGGATCACTTGAGACTAGGAGTTTGAGATCAGCCTGGCCAACATAGCAAAAGTCCATCTCTACTAAAAATACAAAAATTAGCTGGGCGCGGTGGTGCATGCTTGTAATCCCATCTACTTGGGAGGCTGAGGCCGGAGAATCGCTTGAACCCAGAAGACGGAGGTTGCAGCCAGCTGAGATTGCACCATTGTACTCCAGCCTGGGCGACAGAGCGAGACTGTCTCAAAAAATAAATAAATAAAGAAGTCTTGGCCAGGCGCGGTGGCTCACGCCTGTAATCCCAACACTTTGGGAGGCCGAGACAGGCGGACCACGAGGTCAGGAGATGGAGACCATCCTGGCTAACACGGTGAAACCCTGTCTCTACTAAAAATACAGAAAAAAAAAAAAAAAAACCCCGGCATGGTGGCAGGTGCCTGTAGTCCCAGCTACTCAGGAGGCTGAGGCGGGAGAATGGCGTGAACCCAGGATGCGGAGCTTGCAGTGAGTCGAGATCGCACCACTGCACTCCAGCCTGGGCAACAGAGCAAGACTCTTGTCTCAAAAAAAAAAAAACAAAACACAGGAGTCTTGACCACCAAATCTTCAGTATGGTGGGGTGCGGGTGCTTGGGCAAGGGAGGGACAACAGCAAAGGGAGGTTCAAACCGGGCAGAAAGCCACCACAGCTTCAGTGTGGCAAGGAGCACATTTGAAATGAGCTCACAAAAGGAAGGCTTTGGATTATATTCCTGGAAAGGGCAGATGTCTTGGAGCAGACGGGAAGAGAGAAGGAACTGTGGTGATGGCTCCCAAAACACCAAGGGTTTCAGGAAGAAGGCAGTGAGGTCCAAGTTAAAATAAGGGAAGCATTCTATTTATCTGGGGAAACTATGGCAACAGTAGGCATTGCCGGCAGTTCAGTGGGCAGGAGCAGTGAGGAGGGCAGGAACACAGGGAGAAATGGTGGGAATGCATTCAGGGAAGCCAAAAGCAAAAGATAGCTGGCAGCATGCCAGGATTCATGTTGATGCAAGCCAGCGTCTACTGAGTGCTTCCGTATGTACCAGGCGCCCTTCTAGGCTCTTGGCCTGCAGTAACTCCAGATCTGGCAGCTGCACCAGGGGGTGGGCATTCTGATTAACCCTGACTTTGCAGGTGAAGAAACAGGCTCAAAATAGTGTAGCGAAGCTTTATTATAAAGTCACACAGCTCTGAAATGATGGAAATTGGGACTCAAACATGATTGTCTCACAGCCCAGTGTCTTAATATCTGCCTCAAAGAACACTGCCCACAGCATGCAGGCTTCTTTATGTTGCAAGAACAGAAAACCCCACTGGCTTAAGCCACAATGCGCAGCTGATTCAACACCCAGCACCCCACTTCCAGGCTAATTCTACCAAGACCTGGCTTGAATGACATCATTTTCTTTCTCAGAAACTCTTCATGAGTCTTGCTTTATTGTTTAGAGCAGGAAAGAAAATAAACCACAAACCCTCAGTAGTCATTTGTTTCAAATGCCCAGTTTTACAGACGAGGGCACTGATGTGCATGGCTGTACTCTGATTTGATCAAGACCACATGGCTAGTTGGTGGCAGAGCTGGGCTGAAATTCTAAGCCCCTAGTCCAGGTCCAGTGTGTGTCCCTGTCCCACCATCTTCAGCAAGTCCACTCTCTTCTGCTTGGCTTTGGAGCCCAGCCCCATCCTGTTCTCCAACACAACTTCCCTCTGCATCCTGAACACCTATGACTCACTGCGCTAGAGTCACCGTGGCTCCCTTGGCCCTGAATGCTGCTCCTGGAGAGGTTGGAAGGAAGAGCGACACCTGAGGACAAACTCCTGTATTAGTCCATTCTCATGCTGCTATGAAGAAATAACATGAGACTGGGTAATTTATGAAGAAAAGAAGTTTAATTAACTCATGGTTCTGCGTGGTTGGGGAAGCCTCAGGAAACTCACAATCATGAGGGAAGGCTCCTCTTCACAGGGTAGCAGGAGAGAGAATGAGTGCCAAGCGAAGGGGGAAGACCCTTATAAAACCATCACATCGGCCAGGCACAGTGGCTCATGTCTGTAATCCCAGCACTTTGGGAGGCCGAGGGGGATGGATTACCTGAGGTCAGGAGTTCGAGACAAGCCTGGCCAACATGGTGAAACCCCATCTCTACTAAAAATACAAAAATTAGCCAGGCCTGGTGGCTTATGCCTGTAATCCCAGCTACTTGGGAGGCTGAGGCATAAGGATCGCTTGAACCCGGGAGGCAGAGGTTGCAGTGAGCTGAGATTGCGCTACTGCACTCCAGCCTGGGCAATAGAGCGAGATTCAGTCTCAAACAAACAAAAAACAAAAACAAACCATCACATCTTGTGAGAATTCACGATCATGAGAACAGCATGGGGGAAACTGTCCCCATGATTCAATTACCTCCACCTGGTCCCGCCCTTGATATGTGGGGATTATTACAATTCAAGGTGAGATTTGGATGGGGACACAGAGTCAAACCATATCACCTCCTGAGGCAGCCTAGGTGTCTGGGGGAAGTTCTGAGAAGCTCTTCACTCCTTTCCTAGTTCCTTCAGATCAGGGCTGGGCAGGAGGCAAGGAAAAGAGCCCCAGTATGAATAGGGAATACTTCCCAGAGTTCAAGACCTGGGGCAGCACTTTATTTTCCTTCCTGTCTTGATCTCAACCTGAGGCTGTGGCCCATCTGCAGCCTAGACTATGGAGAGGAGACTAGGGAAGGAAGAGAGCTGCCTTGTTTATCACCTGCTTCCACCTCACTGGGTGACAGGCGGCCTCTTTCCCCTGCATTGGAAGTGGCAGGAGAGGAGGGAGCTCAGAGGCAAGGGTAGTGAGACTCTGGCTGGCCAGAGGCACTGCTGCTGAATCCCCCACTCTGGTAGTGGGAAGGCCCGGCTGAAAGGAGACTCCTTCTTTTCTCCACAGGCCTTGGAATGAGAAGAAGGGATCACAGGGAGATTCTGAGTGGCCCAGTCCATGGTAGAAGCTGGCTGGTCTGCCTTCCCAGCAGCGGCCCAGGGTGGGGGAAATGGCACTGTCCCAACCTTGCCCACTCAAGTGATCCCAGAAGCCAAGCTGCATACAGAGTGGGTCTCACGGTCTGTCTTCAAGATGAGAGGCGACAGCAGCAAATGCAGTTGTGCCCCAATAGGGACTTTGGTCTGGTGGGGAGCACGTGGGGGAGTGTTGGCTCCACAGGACATTTACCACACAGCTTCCCTTTCCCCAACCTTCCGTGATGTTTGCTGAGCACCTAATAGGTTCCCGGGACTGGGTAAGGTGCTTTAAAGATACTATTTTAGGCCAGGAGAAATGGCTCATGGCTGCAATCCCAGCACTTTGGGAGGTCGAGGTGGGAGGGATCACTTGAGGCCAAGAGTTTGAGACCAGCCTGGGCAACAGAGCAAGATCCTATCTCTTCAAAAAATTTTAAAAATTAGCCGGGTGAGGTGGTTTGCACCTGTAGTCCCAGGTACTCAGGAGGCTGAGGTGGGAGGACTGCTTGAGCCCAGGAGGTTGAGGCTGCAGTGAGCTATGATTGCTTCACTGCACTCCAGCCTGGGCAACAGAGTGAGACCCTGTCTCCAAAACAAAGAAACAAAAAAGAGACAGAGAGAGAGAGGTGTTATTTTAATCAATCAACTCAGCCAGTCTTGCAAGGCAGATGTCATTACCCTTTTTACAGGTGAGGACAGTAAGGCTCAGAGAGATTCAAGTACAGTCCAAGACCACATAGGTCATGCATCCTCAGCTGAGTTGCGGTTTGAATTCAGGTGTGCCACTCCTGGCCTCTTCACCTCACGCTGCTCACTTGCTCACCTCTTCTACTCCCCAGCTTTTCTCCCTGGGTTCTTGATCACCTGACCCCTTCACACCTACTATCCTGCCCAAGAATCCCTCTCAGCAATGTCCAAAACCAGGACACCAAGCCATTTAGCAAAATGCAGTCCCAGATGCTCAGCAGTCTCAGCAGTCAGGATGGGTTCTGGGTCCCTGGAAAGATCAGGCAAGGCCAGGAGACCCAGGCAGCCCCTGTCTCCTCCCTGGGCCTTGCTTCTGAAAGGTGAGGAGAATGCTCTGTATTCTCAGGTCTTCCCACTTCTCCTTGGGACTAGAGCTGGGGGCACTTGCCAGGCTTTTCTCTTTCTGTTACTGAAAAGGGAATTTCATCAGCTGTGAACCTGGGGTGAGACATGACACATTCCCAAGTTGAGCCTAGGTTCATCCTCCAAGCTGCCTGGTGATGAAGGAGCATTACCGGGCTTGGGGACCATCCAATCCCACACCCAAGAGGCAAACAGCTGCTCGGCATTTCCTGTGACGCTCCAGTGCCCCTAGAAAAGGAAATTTCACAAGCTAGGAATGTCCTGAGCAGGCTGTCTGGGACAGTATACACTGTTCTGAACCTGGGGGAGTAGATGATTCTATGGTTCTTCCTGCAGAGGTTTTGGCAAGCATGGACTTCCCCATAGCAGAGTTTTCTGTGGGAGTAAGTAGCCCTGCCTGCAGCAAAGGCAGCCTATTGCAGATGAAGCGTGTCAGCAGGGCTCAGCGTCTGAAGGGACTGGGGTATGCGACAAGACTATGGCTCAACACAAATGCACCCAGCGTGGGGGCTGCCCTGGCTTCTGGGGTTGGCCTCTTGAGGGCCTTGAGCAGCTGGGGTCCAGAGACTTTTAGGGACTTTTGGTGCTGTAGCCTCTCTCTGGGACGGCCATTCCCCATTCCTGCTGCAATCCTCATTCACTGACTTGTTTGCTAATTCATTCAACAAACTTTTATTTATTTATTCATTCATTTTGAGGACTTTACACAAAGCCTAGTGTTAGGTTCTAGGAACATAGTGATGAACAAGAGCCAGTCTTTGCCCTTAAAGAGTTTGTAGACCAATAGGGGAGAAAGAGATTAAACAGCTATCTAAAACTTAAGGCACAACTTAAAATTGAAAGAAACAAAGAAGCAAAAAACAAACCTATAATGATACACCCTGAAAAGTGCTTGGTAGTGATGAGAAAGGAGCTAATTTCTTTAGGGTATGAACAAAGATTCCCCGGAAAGGTGCCACTCGCATTGGGTCTAAATTGTTGTGTTTCGATATTATTCGTAGAGAAGTAAGT
Source organism: Homo sapiens (assembly GCF_000001405.40). NCBI lineage: Eukaryota > Metazoa > Chordata > Mammalia > Primates > Hominidae > Homo > Homo sapiens. The sequence goes on from NC_000014.9 coordinate 69,720,431, forward strand.
AAATGAGGGGCTGTGGGATGGGAAGAAGAGGACTTTTCAGGCTGTAGAGACCCATAGAAGCAAATGTACAAGCATCTTTTTTTTTTTTTTAAGACAGAGTCTTGCTGTGTTGCCAGGCTGGAGTGCAGTGGTGTGATCTCGGCTCACTGCAACCTCTGCCTCCCAGGATCAAGGAATTCTCGTGCTTTGGCCTCTCGAGTAGCTGGGACCACAGGCACCCACCACCACACCCAGCTAATTTTCTGTGTTTTTTTTGGTAGAGATGGGACTTCACCATGTTGCCCAGGCTGGTCTTGAACTCCTGAGCCTAAGCGATCTGCCCACCTCGGCCTCCCAAAGTGCTGGGATTACAGGTATGAGCCACTGCGCCCGGCCAAGTGTACCAACATCTAAAACATGAACCACATGAAACTGTCATTTTTGCAGGTTGAAAAAAAGTTCAGATATGGGCAATTTTAACCTAACATATAATTGTCTTAAGATCTGCTCAAATTAGGGATGCCTTTCTTCTCTGAGTTAGACTGCTACATTTTAATTATTTTAATCACAAGAAGGAAATTCCAGGACACCCAAAGTGTCCAAAGTCTTCTTGTCCTGGAGCCTATGCCCCACAATAACAGAGCACTGAGCATAGCTGACTCTTTGGTTACCATGAGCCAGCTCCTGCCGGCTGACTGCAGGAGGCGTTTTGAGAAATCACATGAGCCGTTCAAGTCTCCAGGACAGCACCAATGCACTTGTTCTTCCAGGTGGACAACAGAAGGACACCCACAACTCATAACTAAGTTCCTGCCAGCAACAGCCAGGCAGCTATTCCAATGCAGACGTGTTTTGACCCTTTTTATTGTTTTCCATAGGGCAGAAAATGAGAGACAGAAGTTACACCCATTTACAACATTCTCTCCTTGTTAACTTTTTCTATTTTTTATTAGAAACATTCAAAAAACGTGCTATTTTATGATAAGAGTAATACATATTAAAACATCAGAAATAATATTTTTTCACCTCAGGTTGGGAAAAGAAAAGGCTTAAAGGTATCTAGTAGGAGTGTAAATTGGTACATTGTCTATGGAGGGCAATTCGGCCCACAACCATCAAAATTACAACATAGGGCTAGGCGCAGTAGCTCATGCCTGTAATCCCAGCACTTTGGGAGGCCAAGAAGGGCAGATCACCGGAGGTCAGGAGTTTGAGACCAGCCTGGCCAATATGGTGAAACCCCATCTTCACTAAAAATAAAAAAAATTAGCCAGGTGTAGTGGCGCATGCCTGTAATCCCAGCTACTTGGGAGGCTGAGGCAGGAGAATCACTTGAACTTGGGAGGCGGAGGTTGTAGTGAGTTGAGATTGCGCTACTGCACTCCAGCCTGGGCGACAGAGAGAGACTCAGTCTCGAAAAAAAAATTACAATGTAGTTCCTTATCTTCCTCCCTTACTGAACTCATTCAGTCCTAAAGACAGTAAGTGAGGGCACACAAGAGAGTTACACATTCAGAAAGAGGGAACGACCCCAACCAAAACAAACAGAATGAACCCTACAATGCCAGATTGGAATTGGAGATATTGATGTGAACTTGTGGTTTTCTATATACATAATTGATATATAAATAAATATAGAAGTATTGTGGGTTTGCTGTTATACACACAGTCACACTCATGCACACACACAGAGAAATTCCCCAGCTCTTCCCAGAGGACTTGTTAGCAGTGATACCCCAACAGCAGTGAGTATACCTGTCATTCAGATCTTTGCTTTAAAATAGTATTTTCAGCCAGGTGCGGTGGCTCACGCCTATAATCCCAACACTTTGGGAGGCCAAGGCGGGTGGATCACTTGAGGTCAGGAGTTTGAGACCAGCCTGGCCAACATGGGGAAACCTCATCTCTACTAAAAATACAAAAAAAAAAAAAAAAAAAAATTACTTGAGAGTGGTGGCACTTGCCTATAATCCCAGCTACCTGGGAGGCTGAGGCAAGACAGTCACTTGAACCTGGGAGGTGGAGGTTGCAGTGAGCCGAGATGGTGCCACTGCACTCCAACCTGGGCGACAGAAGCTCCGTCTCAAAAAATAAATAAGTAAATTAATTAATTAATTAATATTGTCTGTGAAAAGGACCCAGGCTCCTTGGAGAAATGGCTGATTCCAGAGCTGAGGCAGGAAGACTGCGAGATGAGCCTGGAACATATTGTATCAGGAAGCAAGAAAGTGCTCAAAGAATGATAGGGACATGCCCGAAAGACTCCCACTGAAGGGGCTTCTACTGGCCACATCAGGGACATTTTGAGCATCAGAATAAATAATGATTATAATGGATTATAATCCATAGAATAAAACAAAACCATGAATCTATAGAGATAAATTTTACAGTGGAGACGCCCAGCAGACATTGCTTTCATCAGTGGGACAAATCAAAATCGTGTACCACCTGACAGGAGGCACCAAGTGAACACAGCATCACTTCCATGATATTCCTACAGAATGCAACCTACGCTAATAATGGAAAAGAAAATGAGACAGACCCAAAGTGAGTGATAATTCACAAAATAACTGGCCTGTAATCTTGAAAATGTCAAGGTCATGAAAATCAAGGGAAAATCTGAGGAACTGTTGCAGACTGAAGGAGACTAAAAGACATGAATAAAAAGAAATTAACATATGATTCTGAACTGTGTCCTTTTGCCATGAAAGATGTTAGTGGGGCAAAACTCAAACAGGGTCTGAGGATTCAATGGTAGTAATGTCTCAGTGTTAACTTCTTGATTTGACAGTTGTGGTTATGCGGGAGAATATCCTTGCCAGTGGGAAACACACATTAAAGTATTGGGAGGGGATTGGGAAAAGTATTCTCAAATGCTTCAGGAAATGATCTGTAAATTTGTGATTGTTTCTAAACAACATTATGTAGATAATGCACTCTTTGCAATGATATGAAATTCTTTCACCCTGGAAATTGTATGACTTAGTTTGTTCCTGTTGCTATAACCCAATACCTTAGACTAAGTAATTTATAAACAATAGAAAGTTATCACTTGAACCTGGGAGGTAGAGGTTGCAGTGAGCTGGGAAGGCTGGAGGCTGGGAAGTCAAAGGGCAGGGAACCTGCAGATTTGGTGTCTGGTGAGGGCTGCTCTCTGCTTCCAAGATGGCACTTTCTGGCTGCATCCTCTCATGGTGGAAGGGCGAAAGGGATGATTCCTACATCCTCACATGGGAGAAGAGATGGAAGGGCCTAAAGAGGCCTGGCTACTGCCCTCCAGCACTTCATAAGGGCATGAATCCCATTCTCCAGGGTGGAACCCTCATGACCTAATCACCTTCCAAAGGCCTCACCTTTTAATACCATCAACTTGGGGTTTAAGTTCCACCATATAAATTTTGGAGGGAGGCACACATTCAAACCATAGCATTCTACTTGCAGGAATTTTTCCTAGAGATATCTTTGCTCATGTGTATATAAGTTACTCAATGCAGTGGTTTAATAAAGCAAAGATTTGAAAAAAACCTAAATAATCACCAACATGGGCTGGTTAAATACATATGATATATCCAAACATAAAATGCATACAAAAAAAAAAGAATAATACAGCCTGGCACCAATCTGCAGAATACATTGTATGAAAAAGGCCAAGTATGGAGGAATAGAAGAAATAGGCCAAGTATAGAATAGGCCAAGTATAGAGATGCAATCATTTGTGTACAAAAAGAGATAAACAGTGTCAATGTGCTTGCTTTTGTATGCACAGAGGATCTCTGTAAATACACCCCAGACATTGAGACCACTGGGTGACTCTGGAGAGAGGTTCTGGTGCTTGGGAGAGTGACATGGGAGGAAGAATCTTCTACACCCTTCTGTACTTCAGAATTTTGAAGCAAGTGCATGTATTACCTGTTTAATAAATTAATTAAACTAAAATTATATATTAAAAAGTGAAATGCACTGGGCACAGTGGCTCATGCCTGTAATCCCAACACCATGGGAGGCTGAGGCAGGAGAATCTCTTGAACCCAGGAATTCAAGACCAGCCTGGGCAACATGGTGAGACCCTCATCTCTACCAAAAATTTAAAAAATGAGCTGGTCATGGTGGTGCACACCTGTGGTCCCAGCTACTTGGGAGGCTGAGGTGGAAGAATTGCTTGAGCCCAGGAGGTTGAGGCTGCAGTGATCTGTGTTTATGCCACTGCACTTCAGTCTGGGTGACAGAGATCCTGTCTCAGAACAAAACAAAACAAAATGGCATGCTACCTAGACACAGAAGGAATAGAAGGAATAAATTAACAAGAAATTTTAAAAATTTATCTGATCTCTTGTTACAAATTAGTAATCTGCCTTCTGGGACAGGTCGCACAGCTCCCTGCAGGGCCTTGCTTAAGAACAATAAACAATTCTCATTGCCTGCTATTTTCATCTACTTAACCCGGAAAAATAAAATTATTTGTTGGGACTTTCAGTATTATGGATGGAATTGTGCCCCCTTCCCCCTGTTCATATGTTGGAGTGTTGAAATCCTAACTCTCAGTCCCTCAGAATGTGATCATATTTGGAGATAGGGTCTTTAAAGAGGGAATTAAGTTAAAATAAGGTCACTATGATGGCCCTAATGCAATATAACTGGTGTCCCTACAAGAAGAGGAAATGGAAGAAGATGTGAAGACACAGGGAGAAGACAGCCTTGTATAAGCCAAGGAGAGTTTTGGAACAGATTTTGCCCTCACAGGCCTGGGGATGAACCAAACTTGATGACATCCTGATATTGGACTTCCAGCCTCCAGAATCTAAGAACATAAACGTTTGTTGTTTAAACGATAGTCTATGGACTGTTCAGGCTGCCCGGTCTATGGAAGATTGTAAAGGCAGCCCTAGCAAACCCATACATTCAGTCTCAGAAGTGGGAGCTGGACCAGGGCTTCTTCCCACAACAAGAACCCATCCAGGCCAGGTGCGGTGGCTCATGCCTGTAATCCCAGCACTTTGGGAGGCTGAGGTGGGTGGATCACTTGAGGTCAGAAGTTTGAGACCAGCCTAGCCAACATGATGAAACCCCATCTCTACTAAAAATACAAAAATTAGCCCAGCATGGTGGCTCATGCCTGTAGTTTCAGCTACTCGGGAGGGTGAGGCAGAAGAATCACTTGAATCTGGGAGGCAGAAGTTACAGTGAGCTGAGATGGCGCCACTGCATTCCAGCCTGGGTGACAGAGTGAGACTCTGTCTCAAAAAAAAAAAAAAAAAAGGAACACATCCAGAGAATGGGCAGGCAGCCAGCATGGAAGGGGCTGGTGAGGGAACTAGTGAGAAAGGGAAGAAAACACCCAGTGGGGCAGGACTTTGAATGCCATACTAAGGATATGGATGTGATTCCATAGGCAAATGGGAGCCGTTGAAGGATACTGAAGAGAAGAATGGTGTGCTGTCAGTGTAACATAACGGGAAAGAACTTGATGGACAATGGATTGGAGTGGACACTAACTGGAAAGACCACTGTAGGCATCTGGTAAAAGATGTTCATTAGCCCTCAGATGATGAGAGCACAAGGTGGGCTTGACTTAGCTAGGAAGAGTTGACAGAATTGCTCATGTATTTGGGAAAATCATTCAGGCGAAGGGGTCTTGAGCTTTGTGGCGGACTGCATGGAAAGGAATGAGAAACAGACAAAGGAGTCAAAAAGTCTGCTTATGTCTATGCATAGCAAGGAGAAGAAAGGCGGGAAGGACAGAGGAATGAACAAATTGCTTTGATTTGGAAAAGAGTGTGCAGGGAACCTGTGCAGAGGGCTGGGACACATGGGTCTGTGGACTGTGACCAGGATGCGGAGCAGGGTCCATCACACTTGTTCAGAGGGGAGGACCAAAGCCTGTTTCAGGAAATTGCTTCTGGGGTGAAATGGAAGTGGTGTGTCTCCCACAGGAAGACGTAAGGGAACTTGAAGGACCAGAGTATAGCCCACCTGTGAGAGGCAGTAATTTAAAACCCTCTCATTTTTCTCCATGGCCAGATCTTGGAGGCACCATGCCCACGGCTCTGCCAGGTCTGTTGCAGGCCTAGTTTTTCATTCCTGGGATGGAGTATGGAGGCTGCGGTGGGAGGATCACCTGAGCCCAGGAGATCGAGGCTGCAGAGAGCAGTGTTTGCGCCACTGCACTCCAGCCTAGGCGCCAGAGTGACACCCTGTCTCAAAACAAGCAAACAAAAAACCAAAACAAAACTAATGATGCAAAATTTTAAAATTGAAAAAAAAAGAAGAAAATACAGGGTCCACGAAGAGGAGTGGATCCACCCCGTCTTCTTTCCCTGCTGCCATGCCCTTTGGCAGGCAGCCGTCCCCACGCCCGGAAAGCCCCAGCTTCGGCTCAGCCCACAGCACAAGGGCATATCCTTCTGCCTGCGCAGGCCAGGGTGCTCGACGCCCTCGCGGTCCGCCTGCGCGCCCCCACGCAGGCTCAGCAGCGCCCGGGCCTGCAGCAGAGGCCGGAGGAAGCGCCACGGGCGGCTCAGACCTGAGGCCGCAAGGGCGCGCCGGGCGGGCAGGGCGGAGGGTCCGATTTCCTCCCTCTGAACGGAAAAAAAGCCACTTTCCCTGGGAAGAACTCGAAGAAGTTGGATGTCTGATCTTCACCTTGGATTTGTGGTCTCGGCCCGCGGGCGACTCACCCCACCCACCAGGATCCCACGAAGCCGGGCCGGCTCAGCCCGCTGGCGCCATCTAGTGTCGAATGAGGAGGCGGCCCTCTGCGGCTGGAGGGGACGCTTGGGCGTGTGGTGAGTTAGCTTCCAGGTTATGCAAAGCGGGGGTCAGCGGAGAGTCGGGGGTGTGACAGCCAGGGCCTCCAGCGGGTAGGGGATGCGACCTAGGAGTCTATGAGAAACTGACTCCTGCTTGGACTCTGTATTCTGTTTCCTAGAGCTGCCGTAACAAATTACCACTAACTGGGTGGCTTAAGGCAGCAGAGGTGTCTTCTCTCACAGTTCTGGAGGCCAGAAGTCTGAAATCAAGGCGTGGGCAGGGCCGTGCCCCCTCCGCAGGCTCTAGAGAGAGTCTTTCCTGGCCTCTTTCTAGCTTTTGGCGGCTGCCCGCACTTCTTGTTGTGCGTTTGCTTACAGATGCCTCACTCCAGTCTCTGTCTTCCTGTACGTCCAGGCCCACATCTCCCTCCTATAAGAACACGGGTTATAGGATTAGAGCCCACCCAATCCAGTAGGATTCATCTTAACCTGATCACATCCTATTTCCACATAAGATCACATTCACAGGAACCAGAGGTTAGGACACCCTCCAAAGAATCTTTCCGCTCAACAGATGTCCTTCGAGCACCTGTAAGGCGCCAGGCTGGTGCTGAGGGCTGGGCACATGGAGCTGCTCTGTCCTTGAGGTTCTCACGACTGGCACTAATAGTGTCATTACCGATCTCTGTCCCCCTTCAACCTTGACTCCTCAGTGCCTAGCAGGGCCGGCCCAGAGGCCCTGTATTTCATTGAATTAGGAAGGAAGGATGGAGGAAGGGCAGGAGAGAGGAAAGAAGGGCTGCAGGAATGATGCAGGGAGACCACGCAGCGGGGAAGGGGGTGCAGAGCAGTTGGCTAGTGCTTTACAGAGCAAGTGCTGTTGGAGCTGGGTCTTGAACCAATAGTAGTTTGGTTGCCAGGCAGAAGAGATGGGCCAGGGGGAGAGGCCTTCTAGGCAGAGCTAACAGGTGGGCAATGCCCAGTTGTGAGTGGGGCCGTGAGGTTGGGGAGTTTGGGAGCCAGGTGTGGTTGGAAGGGAGGGTGTGGGGGAAAGGTGCTGTCAAATGGTCCAGACCTGGAGACTGTGGCTCTATGGTGAAGGGCTTCGAGAGCCATTCTCTTGGTTTGAAGTATCTTGTAGGTGGGCAACCGAGAAGGTTTTAAAGCATGTGCTAGGTGTCATAATTACCAGGGGTGGAGACGGTGCAACAGGCAGAGACCCATGAAACAGAGGTCCATAGAATATCCTACCTTATAAATAAAAATTATTATTATTTTTTGAGACAGTGTAGAACTGTGATCTGATCTGATACGTTCTGTCCTTTAATATCTGAGTTAAATATGTTATTGGCTCCCAATCCAGACCCCAAGAGAGGATTCTTGGATCTCCCGCAAGAAAGAATTCAGGGCCTGTCCACAGAGTAAAGTGAAAGCAAGTTTATGAAGAACGTAAAGGAATAAAAGAACGACTACTGTATAGACAGAGCAGTGGCATGGGCTGCTCGACTGAGTATATTTATAGTTATTTCTTGATTATATGCCAAACAAGGGGTGGATTATTCATTAGATTTCCAGGAAAGGGGTGGGAATTCCTGGAACTGAGGGTTCCTCTTCCTTTTACACCATATAGGGTAACTTCTGGACATTGCCATCGCATTTGTAAATGGTCATGGTGTTAGTGGGAGTGTCTTTTAACAAGGCAATGCATTATAATTAATGTATAATGAGCAATGAGGATGACCAGAGGTCACCTTCGTCATCATCTTGGTTTTGGTGGGTTTTATCCGGCTTCTTCTTCTTCTTTTTTTTTTTTTTGAGATGGAGTTTCGCTCTTGTTGCCCAGGCTGGAGTGCAATGGCCCAATCTCGGCTCACTGCAACCTCTGCCTCCCGGGTTCAAGCGATTCTCCTGCCTCAGCCTCCTGAGTAGCTGGTTTAGCTGGCTTCTTTACTGCATCCTGTCTTATCAGTGTGGTTTTTGTGACCTATATCTTGTGACCTCCTGTCTCATCCTGTGACTTAGAATGCCTAACCATCTGGGGATGCAGTCCAGTAGGTCTCAGCCTTATTTTACCCAGCCCCTATTCAAGATGGAGTCATTCTGGTTTGAACGCCTCTGACAAATATGTTTATCTTTCTTATAGTTATGAATACATTTGGATCTACCATTTTATTTTGTATGAGCTCTTTATTTTCTTCTTTTTACTTTTTCCTATCTTCTTTTGGATTAAAAATGTTATCAATTTTCTACAATTTCTATTTTTCCATTGGACGAAATCCGTAAGATTGTATTTTGATTCTTTTGGAAGTCAATGTTGGGACTCAGAAACTGGTATCCCAATGGTTCTTTGACATGCTGGACTAAAGAAGCAGGCTCATGATCTCTTTGACCTTCCCCCAACTCCTGTTTCTGAATTCTTTGTTTCTCTCAAAGCACAGAATGAGGCTATTTTCTGAAGTTTCCAGGTGCTTGGGAGTTGATAAAGTTTAAGAAAAAATTTTTAATGAAGTTCTCTTATCTACCTAGAAACCAGACCCCGAAATAGGACCACAATTGCCTTCCGTCCTCTCCCTGAAATCTCATTATCTCAGAAAAGCAAGACTGAAGAATGTAACCACACCTGGATGAACTTTTTCCCAAGACATTTATTTATTTAATTTATTTTTTGAGACAAGGTCTCACTCTGTCACCCAGGCTGGAGTAAAGTGGCCAAACATGGCTCATGCAGCCTCAACCTCCCAGGCTCAAGTGAGCCTCCTGCCTCAGCTTCCTGAGTAGCTGGGAATATAAGAGTGTGCCACCATGCCTAATTTTTGATATTTCTTGGAGACGGCGTCTCCCCATGTTGCCCAGGCTATTCTTGAACTCCTGGACTCACGCAATCCTCTCACCTCAACCTCCCAAAGTGCTGGGATTACAGGCTTGAGCCACTACGCCCAGCTTTTTTCACAAGATGATGTCTGCCTCTTGTGCGCATCCAAATTCCAAAGAGAATTATTTACAAGTTAATTTCTGTTTTCCAGGTCCATTCATTTCCCCTGAAAATCATTTATTCTTACACTCCGCACTTCCCTCTCCCTAATGAAGAGGGTATTTAAGTGTCAGTCCTTTGGCCCTGTACTTGAGTTTTCATATTTGTAGACTCCCATGCATGTGTTTTCTGTTGTTATTCTGTGTTTCATTATAGGAGTGTCTCCTGTGATTCTTTTTTTTTTTTTTTTTTTTTGAGACTGAGTTTCACTCTTGTTGCTCAGGCTGGAGTGCAATGGCGCGATCTCGGCTCACTGCAACCTCCGCCTCCCTGGTTCAAGTGATTCTCCTGCCTCAGCCTCCCAAGTAGCTGGGATTACAGGCATGCGCCACCATGCCCGGCTAATTTTGTATTTTTAGTAGAGACGAGGTTTCTCCATGTTGGTCAGGCTGGTCTCCAACTCCCATCTTCAGGTGATCCACCCGCCTCAGCCTCCCAAAGTGCTGGGATTACAGGCATGAGCCACTGCGCCCGGCCTTCTGTGATTCTTTATAATGAGGAGAAAAGAAATCATCCCCTTTCCGCCCCTACATCACCCAGCTTTTTCTTAAAAAAATTGAAGTTATTCATTATTTCTCTCCTCCTCCAAAATTTATAGGCATTGGCCTGTCTGTCCTGAAATTTTAAAAAATTTGACTTTTGTTATAAATTTCTAATTATATTGCATTATTATCAAATAATATAGTCTGAATAATAAGGATCCTTTGGAATTTGTAAAGGCTTCCATTATAGCTTACCAAATTGTTTTAAATGTTGAATATCTCAAAAAGAATGCATATTCTTTATCCCCAAGTATAAAGTGCTATATAGAGCTAATAGCTCAATCTTATTAAGTATATTGCCCCTATTTTTAACACCTCTGCTTGACCATAGAAGAGTCTGGTAATATTTCAAACTACAATTGTTGACTTACCTATTTCTCCCTGAAGTTTGTCAGTTGTTGCTTGCCCTATGCTCCTATCATAAACATGTGCCAAATGGATTTTTCATGTCTTTCTTTCGTTTTCATGCCAAGCTCTGTTCTTATTTGCTCCATTTGAATGGTTTGATGCTCAGGCACATGGTCCTCTTCCAAATTAAAATCAAAATGCTGGTGAAGGTTAGAAACAGATTTGGGTTCATAAAATGGTCAGGCACTGAAAAGGGATCTGGTAGTGAAGGACGGCCCTTGTTTCAGAATACGGGGAGAGCTTTCTGACATCTGTGGCCTCGTCCACTCACTGGAGTAGATAAAAACTGCAGATACTGCAACTCTTTCACCAGGTGGTGCAGTAAGCACACAGTTTGGAGTTCAGTCTACCCAACTACCTGGACAAGAACACAAGATTCCAGTAAGAAAAAGAAGGAATGGGGGGTTTTCAATGAAAGATGAGAGGTCCATAGCCAATACCCTGTGTGTGTGTGTGTGTGTGTGTGTGTGTGTGTGTGTGTGTGTGTGTACCAGGACCAGAACCTTATAACAGCAGAATGTGAGATCTGAACTGGATCCTCTGACTTGCTTGTTTTTTTCTTTCTTTTTTTTTTTTTTTTAAGACAGAGTCTCCCTCTGTTGCCCAGGCTGGAGTGCCATGGTGCAATCTTGGCTCACCGTAACCTCTGCCTCCTGGGTTCAAGCAATTCTTCTGCCTCAGCCTCCCGAGTACCTGGGATTACAGGTGCCCGCCACCACGCCCAGCTAATTTTTTGTATTTTTAGTAGAGACAGAGTTTCACCACATTGGCCAGGTTGGTCTTGAACTCCCGACCTCGTGATCTGGCCGCCTTGGCCTCCCAAAGTGCTGGGATTACTGGCGTGAGCCACCGCGTCCAGCCTGACTTGCTTGTTTTTACAGAGATAATCAATCCAGAGTGATGAAACAGACAAATGCTTTGGTCCATCCATCCATCCATCTATCCATCCATCCACCCATCCATCCATCCATCCACCCATCCATCCATCCATCCATCCATCCATCCATCCATCCATCCACCCATCCATCCATCCATCCATCCACCCATCCATCCATCCATCCATCCAGTATTTACTGAATGTCACCAAGGACTTGCCAAGGTCACATTGCTGTTTAGTAGCAGAAGTTAGTTGAGAACTAGATCACCTAGAGAGAAAATGCAAAATCTTAGAATATCTCCAGATTTTATTATTTACTTTTGGAAAGAGATTTTGGCATTCATTTAAATATCAATACATTTAATATTTTATTTTATTTATATTTATTTATTTATTTTAATTTTTATTTATTTTGTGAGACAGAGTCTTGCTCTGTCTCCCAGGCTGGAGTGCAATGGTGCGATCTTGGCTCACTGCAACCTCCGTCTCCTGGGTTCAAGTGATTCTCCTACCTCAGCCTCCTGAGTAGCTGAGATTACAGGAACCTGCCACCATGCCTGGCTAATTTTTGTATTTTTAGTAGAGACGGGGTTTCACCATGTTGGCCAGGCGGGTCTTGAACTCCTGACTTTAGGTGATCGCACACCTCAGCCTCCTAAAGTGCTCAGATTACAGGCATGAACCACCATGCCTGGCTTATTTTATTTCATTTTTTGAGATGGAGTCTCACTTTGTTGCCCAGGCTGGAGTGCAGTGGTGTGATCTTGGCTCACTGCAACCTCCACCTCAAGTGATTCTCCTGCCTCAGCCTTCTGAGTAGCTGGGATTACAGGCATGCACCACCATGCCCCACTAATTTTTGTATTTTTAGTAGAGACAGCGTTTCACCATGTTGGCCAGGCTGGTCCTGAACTCCTGACCTTGAGTGATCCAGCTGCCTCAAGCTCCCAAAGTGCTGGGATTACAGGCATAAGCCACAGTGCCCAGCCCTGTTTAATATTTTAGAAATTAACGGCAGCCAAAACAAATAAGAAAGCATACTGGGGTGTGTGGAGAGGGAAGGGGTGTGATGGGGGCGGGACTGGAAGCCCTTGGATCCTACTCGTTCTCCAAGGAAGCAGCTAACAGGTAGCACCTAAAGAGGCACAAACAAACAGATGTAGTGTGTGCAACTCAATTGGCTCCTGCATTAGGGGGAAAAGCAATTCTTGAAGGCATTTTTTGGGAAATTTGAATATGACAATAGGGGAAATTTGAATATGCATATGATATGATGGGATGTTAAAGAATCGTTGTTAATTTTCTTGCGTGTGATAATGGTGTTGTGGTTATGTAGGAGAGTGTCTTTATATTTGGGAGACACACGCTAAAGTGTTGAGGGGTGAAGTGTCATGATAATGCGACTGACTGTTAAACTGTTTAGCCAAACACACACGTGCACGCACACATACATACACAGTCATTAAAGCTAACGTGCCAAATGGGTAACAATTGCTGAATCTAAGTGGAGCGTGTTTATTGTACTGTTCTTTCAGCTCTTCAGGGTGTTGGGAAATGTTCATAGTTGAAAGCTGGATGGAGGCATGCAGCTCTTAGGAGATCCATACATACAGGTCCAGTTGAGAACCGTGTGCTGGGTATTTACAGGGGGTGACACTCCCTGAAGGTTAGAGAGAGGTGGCCTCTGACCCCTTCCTGCGTACAGGTGTGAGAGGCAGAGCACCTCACTGTAGTCTGGATCTGCCCACAATGCCCTGTGGGCACTGGGTAGATAAGAGGGGAGGGCAACAGGTTTCTCTTAGGAAAGGAACTGAAGGGGCCAGTCTGAAAAAGTGATCTCTAGAGTGTGACTTGCACATAGTAGATGCTTAATAAATCTGCCAGTATTGTCTCAACAGATGCTTATGGATTTTATTGACATTAGATGGTAAAACTGGAAACATAAGTGCCTGTTTATTAGTCTCTTCTACTACACCGGTGGATTCCTTTGAGGAGTTGGTCTGACAGTCCCCTGAGAAGAGGCAGTGGCTGGCTGTCAGTGCTGTCTTGGAAACCCCTTTCTCCCTTAGTTGCCTAGAAAAACCTCCATAAGGGGCAGTGCATCTCAACTGACCCCACTCTACCCTGGGATGAGGATGGCCAAAGCAGGTGGCCAGGGGAGCATGAAGGACCAAGAAGTGCTTGGTATACAGTAGGCACTCAGTGGCTATCCCCTGGGTGGTAACCAATCATTTGCTGAGTCCCTATTATGTGCCGGGCATGGTAGTCCTTTGCATCCTCCTCATGAACCTCATTATTCTGGTTTTACGAACATGTGAGAAGAAAGGGAACCAAGGATGGTAGGAAGTTCCTCCTGGAGCTGCAGAAAGAGAAAGAGGCAGAGAGAGGGCAAGGGCACAGGGGAAGGGGCAGCGGTTTGGGGAGCGAGTCAGACCAGCCTTCCTCGCAGCAGAAACGTACAAGAAGGAAAAGGTGTTGAGTCTGCCAAAGAGGAGGGGAAGCAATGACCTCTGTGTGAAGGTGGACAAGCAGAAGATGCAGATGCCTGGGTAAAGTCAACTCCAGCCTCTTTCTAGTCATGAGGTTTTGACCTGAGCTGGGTCTACTTAGGTCAATCCCCATGGCTGACCTAGGACAAAGCAGGCACTAGCCTTGAAGTTGCAAGACCTGGGCTGATCCCCATAGGCCTTGATAGCTGCATGACTTGTGGGTCAGTAGACAATCAGAGTGCACTGTCTGCAGGGAATTCACAAACAGTAACAAAACTGACTAAAAGTCACCCTGCCTTTTAGCAACACCTTGTGCTGGCAATTCTGAACAATGGCAGTGATAAAGGACTTCTCCCTGGAAGAACTCCATTGTCAGGCTAAGTTCTAAGCAATTGCTGCCATTACCACTGAATTTTAATAAAATATAGGTAAGCTTCAGACTAGCTCATTTTTATTAGTTATCTTTTATTTATTTATTTATTTGAGACGGAGTCTTGCTCTGTCTCCCAGGCTGGAGTGTAGTGGCATGCTCTTGGCTCACTGCAATCTCCACCCTCTGGGTTCGAGCAATTCTCGTGTCTCAGCCACTTGAGTAGCTGAGACTACAGGCACATGCCATCATGCCTGGCTAATTTTTGTATTTTTTGTAGAAATGGGGGGTCTCACCATGTTGCCAAGGCTGGTCTCAAACTCCTGGGCTCAAGCAGTCTTCCTGCCTTTGTCTCCCTACTTTGTTTTCCTACTTTGCCTCCCAAAGTGCTGGGATTACAGGTGTGAACCACCAGGCCTGGCTGTTTTCCCCTCTTTTGTAAAAAAACAAAACAAAACAAAAAAATTAATGTAATTAACAAATATTTAACTCATTATTTATTTCTGTATTGTAATATTTATTTTATGTTTTATTTTGAATTTTGCTTGGAAGGTTGTTTTTTCTTTTTAGATGGAGTTTTGCTCTTGTCGCCCAGGCTGGAGTGCAATGGCATGATCTTGGCTCACTGCAACCTCCACTTCCTAGGTTCAAGCAATTCTCCTGCCTCAGCCTCCCAAGTGGCTGGGATTACAGGCATGCACCACCATGCCCAGCTAATTTTGTATTTTTAGTAGAGACGGAGTTTCACCATGTTGGCCAGGCTGGTCTCAAACTCCTGACCTCAGGTGATCTGCCAGTCTTGGCCTCCCAAAGTGCTAGGATTACTGCGCCCAGCCTTGGATGGTTGTTTATACAAAGTTTAATACAAGAAAAACTTCACTGCCTATTTATTTTCTGGTCTTTTTTTTTTTTCTTTTGAGACAGAGTCTTGCTCTGTTGCCCAGGCTGGAATGCAGTTGAACAATTATACCTCACTGCAGTTTCAACCTCCTGGTCTCAAGTGATCCTTCCACCTCAGCCTCCTGAGTAGGTGGGACTACAGGTGCCACCACCATGCCTGGCTAATTTTTTTCTATTTTTTATAGAGACAAGGGGTCTCATGTTGCCCAGACTGGTCTCAAACTACTGGCCTCAAGTGATCTGCCCACCTTGGCCTCCCAAAGTGCTGGAATTACGGGTATGAGCCATTGTGCCTGGCCTTTTCTGGCCATTTTATTATTTGTTTCATTCTATATTCGTCTGTTTCCACACTGCTGATAAAGACATACCTGAGACTAGGCAATTTACAAAAGAAAGAGGTTTAATAGGACTTACAGTTCCACATGGCTGGGGAAGCCTCACAATCATGGTGGAAGGCAAGGAGGAGCAAGTCTCATCTTACATGGATGGCAGCAGGCAAAGAGAGAATAAGGAAGATGTAAAAGCGGAAACGCCTTATATAACCATCAGATCTCGTGAGACTTATTCATTGACATGAGAACAGTATGGGGGAACTGCCCCCATGATTCAATTATCTCCCACCACATTCCTCCCATAACACTTGGGAATTATGGGAGTACAATTCAACATGAGATTTGGGTGGGGACACAGAGCCAAACCATATCATTCCGCCCCTGGCCCCTGCAAATCTCATGTCCTCACATTTCAAAACAAATCATGCCTTCCCAATAGTCCCCCAAAGTCCTAACTCATTTCAGCATTAACTCAAAAGTCCACAGTCCAAAGTCTCATCTGAGACAAGGCAAGTCATTAAAAATAAAGTACGGGTTGAAACCCACGAAAGTGATTTCAAGAGCCACCAATGGGTTGAAACCCCCAGTTTGGAAATCTTTGGGCTAAATGATCCACTGACATTCTGTGGGTGTATAACCAACGGTCCTGAGCTCAGATTCCCAGGGCCAGGCCTGAGGGATGAAGGGGTGGACAGGGAGGAAGCAGGGGTGATGTCCTGGTCGGCCCCTACAGCCAGCAGGTTGGAAGGCAGATCTCCAGATGCTTTTAAACAAGCCCAAAATACAGTGTCTTAGGTGAAATAGCTCCCAATTTTTAACAGTTAGCAGGTATTAACTCTGGTTTTAAATCCAATATAATAAGTTTGTCATTTTGATTTTTGAATACTGTGCAAGTAAGCAAGTGACGGGCAGGGGAGGGGGGTGGCGGGGAAGAGAGAGAGAGAGAGAGAGAGAAACCTATATGGCCAGAGGTTTAGTTCTCTATGTAAATTATCAATCCTCTTTTTCTTCATCTTTGCCAGCCTGTCCTATATCAAATCAGTTCAGCCGAATCACAGCCAGAAAGACCCCTGTGCCTAGAACAGGGCGCATGTTTGCTTAATTCACCTCCAGACCCACTCCTCAGCCCAGTCTTGTTTGCAAGCACCCCTCCCTCACTCAGCATGTCTGGGTTAGCTTTGCAACCACAGAGTCACTGGAGGCAAAGAGTGCCTTAGGTAGCAGGAGGTGAAAAGTGTTCCCTGGGAATGTCTTTTCCACCTGATCCCCATTCCCGAGCATCCTTGGGTCACCCATGGCCTGCCTCCAGTGGGTGCAGAGGGTAGCTCCTTCCAGAGGGCCCAGGTGCTAATGACAGGTCATGGCATCTGAAGCCTGGGCTGGCTCAGGAGGCAGAAGAAAGTGAGCAACTGTGGCTCCTGCCAGGAAGAGACCTGGGCAGCTACACAGAATAACTAGTTTCACCTCTGCATCCTCTCTTTGCCCTGCCCTGCTGATTGTACAATCGTTTTTCTAGAGTGAGAAACACCAGCTCCATACCTTGTGATTGGTTTTCTCCTCCAAGTGACAGCTTGGGGAAGAATACTGCCACTCAACTACTGAATTTGAGGATTCCTTAATCTCCCTGACCCTGGGGTGTGGTCTCAGAAAACAAAAGAGGCAATGTAAAAGCAAACTATATCCTATTAAAAAATTATGGTGGGCGCGGTGGCTCACACCTGTAATCCCAGCACTTTGGGAAGCCAAATCGGGCGGATCACAAGGTCAGGAGATCGAGACCATCCTGGCTAACAAGGTGAAACCCCGTCTCTACTAAAAAATACAAAAACTTAGCCAGCTGTGGTGGTCGGCACCTGTAGTCCCAGCTACTCGGGAGGCTGAGGCAGGAGAATGGTGTGAACCCAGGAGGCAGAGCTTGCAGTGAGCTGAGATCGCGCCACTGCACTCCAGCCTGGGCGACAGAGCGAGACTCTGTCTCAAAAAAAAAAAAAGAAATTATTATGGGACATTTCAAACAGGCACAACAGAGAATACTTCAATGAGCCTTCATGTACCCATTGCTCTGCTTCAACAGTTATCAATATTCTATTAATTTTGTGCCATTTTAAAAAAATGAGCCTTTGAAGTCATGTTTACTGCCAGGGAAAGATCTTCTTGGTTTATGGAAAAAGACAGTTTATAAAATATTAATAGTTATTGTAGTGTGATTTCAGTCATGTTAAAATGCACTTTTAGACATTTGGAACAGCAGATTACCACAAGGTAAATGTGTCTGATGGACTACTGCTGAGCACTTAGTATCTGTGGCTTGTTCTGGTGGCTTATTTTTTTAATTTTTTAAATTTTATTTATTTTTGATTGATTTATTTTTTTTTGAAATGGAGTCTCGCTCTGTCACCCAGGCTGGAGTGCAGTGGTGCTATCTTGGCTCACTGCAAGCTCCGCCTCCTGGGTTCACACCATTCTCCTGCCTCAGCCTCCCCAGTAGCTGGGACTACAGAAGCCTGCCACAATGCCCAGCTAATTTGTTGTATTTTTAGTAGAGATAGGGTTTCACCGTGTTAGCCAGGATGGTCTCGATCTCCTGACTTCACGATCTGCCCGCCTCGGCCTCCCAAAGTGCTGGGATTACAGGTGTGAGCCTCTGGCGGCTTATTTTTTAAAAAAGAATGTGTCCTGTTTAGAGGGACAGGGTGAGGCAGTCTCTTATCCTGGCAGAGAGATGCACAGCTGTTTGTCACCTGCTTCAAAACACTCTGCCACGCACCATTCACCCACTCAGCATTATGTTTCTGGTGTTGAAGAAAACAGCACTGTGACAGAAAGCGACTGGGGCTTCAGTAACACTGCAAACTGAATTCATAAATGCTAGGTGCCACTGAAAGTCATGGTGTCCAAATATATTTGACTAAGGTGTCTGCTGGATATTCTTACTAAATTTTTTTTTGAGACCGAGTCTCGCTCTGTCACCCAAGCTGGAGTGCAGTGGTGCGATCTTGGCTCACTGCAACCTCCGCCTCCCGGGTTCAAGCGATTCTCCTGTCTCGCCCTCCTGAGTAGCTGGAACTACAGGTGTGTGCCACCACACCCAGCTGATTTTTTTTTTTACTTTTAGGAGAGAAGGGGTTTTGCCACGTTAGCCAGGATGGTCTTGATCTCCTGACCTCGTGATCCGCCCACCTTGGCCTCCCAAAGTGCTGGGATTACAGGTGTGAGCCACTGCACCTGGCTATTCTTGCTAAATTAAAAAAAAAGTTATAATGCTGTCAACTGGATGATCCTAATTTTGATTCTGATAAAATATTAGCATAGGAAGAAGGCTTGGATGGATGCCAAAAAGTTAGCAGTAATGTTATGTGGGCTGGGCTTCTGTGATAGCTTGGATTCTTCTTGCTTATTTTTATAGTCTACTTTTTTTTCCTATGTGGTGCATATAGAAAAATGAAAGCAACTTAAACATTCAAAATAAATAAAGGTTTATTTTATGAATCTCAGTGCCATTGCATATGAAAGCAAGAAGTGCAACTGGGTGCTCTACCTAAGGTCCTGAGCTGGAAGAACCTGTCTGAGGAAGAACCTGTCTGATGAAAAACCCATCTTTGTCAGACAGGTTTGAGAGAGGACACTGGAAATGGCTTTGTTTCCTCAGGTATCAAAGAGGGTGGAGATGGGGTTACAGGTGTGGGCATTGCACAGGCAAAACAAAACACCCAACAGAACCTAGGGAGTCCTTTGTGCATGGGCACACACAAGAGAGTGGCACTTTAGGCAAATGGCCCTAATCTAGTGCAGCAGGGTTGAAATGAGTGCTTGGCTCCTCGTAAAATAAGGTTCCATTTCCCAAGGAGACTTTAAGCAGCTTGTACATGGAGTGAACCCAGAAAATCTGCACGAGTCTCAGTTAATTTAGAAAATTTATTTTGCCAAGGTTGAGGACGGGCCCGTGACACAGCCTCAGGAAGTCCTGATGACATGTGTCCAAGGTGGTCGGGGCACAGGCATGTGTTTATACATTTTACGGAGACATGAGACATCAATCAATATATGTAAGTAGTACATTAGTTCCGTCCAGAAAGGCGGGGACAACTCAAAGCAACCCTCGCCCCACCCCGTCCCTCGCACCCCCAGGTTTCCAGGTCACAGATCTATGGGAGATTCTTTTGAGTTTCTGATCAGTCTTTTCAAAGGAGGCAATCAGAATATGCGTCTATCTCTGTGAGCAGAGGGATGACTTTGAATAGAATGGGCGACAGGTTTGCCCTGAGTGGTTCCCAGCTTGAGGGGGCCAAGATATTTTCCTTTCACATTTCCCCCCTTTTCTTTTTAAAAATCTTTTGGAGAAAGCATTTTAGAAGAAAGTGAATCTCTGGTCTCAGGTTTCATCTGATCTCTCATGGCAAGGACAGTTTATTCCTAGACGGGTAGGCCTCAAAAGCCCATTTTTAGCAGGTTGTGAAGTCTCATGTCCTATAAAGAGAAAATGCGGGGAGGAAGGG
The DNA here is from genome assembly GCF_000001405.40 of Homo sapiens. Taxonomy (NCBI): domain Eukaryota; kingdom Metazoa; phylum Chordata; class Mammalia; order Primates; family Hominidae; genus Homo; species Homo sapiens. Next base: position 69,740,601 of record NC_000014.9, read on the forward strand.
AGAAAAACAACAACAAACAAAAGAACAATCCTGGAAAAATTGAGATAGGCCACATTACTCTAAAGTTCATACATTAGTAGGCAGGTATGAAAGTGGCTTATGTATGTAAATAGGTTACTGTTATTTTCTTCTGAGGTTTGAGTTGTTTAGCTTCAGTTCACAGGGCTTTAAGAAAGCACAGCTGAGTTTTCAGTGACTCCAAATTGGGCAAAATGGAAAAAAAAGAAAAAACCTGAAAATATTATTTTGAAGACTTGTAGCCAAGAAAAATTAGAATTTGGTTCAAACTGTAGAAAATAATAAAAATTGAAAAAACATTAGGCAAGACTAGAATCTAACAACAGGTGTACTATAGTTTTGAAAAAATTTTTCTCCAGTTTCCCATTTTTACTAAAGATAAATCATGCTAGAACTGGTTTGCTTTATTACACTTGGCCTAATTATTTGCCTACAGTGCAGCGAGAATAATTATTTTTTACACAGGCTTTTAAATTGGCTTTGGTGGAACTTCCTCCATAAGAGGAATCTCAGGTAAGACTTTTTAAAGCCAAGCCCAGCCATAGATATGTGTCATCAAATACCTGTGAGTTGAGTGAATTTCCTCTCCTGTTGACATTCCAAGATAAACCTGGGGCTTCTGTGCCTGTCAGAAAGTGACATACTTTATTTACCACAGGTCACAAACCCTGTACATGGACTGTGTACACAAAATATGAGGGCAGTTTCCCAAAGGCTTTATTGACTGTATAAGTCAAGTTTGATTCCTTAAAGGAAAGCACACCATTCCAGTCAAAGCCTTGGTATAATAACTAGTTTCTCCAATTGTGTCCTGTTACAAATGAGAACAGATTCTTATTACACTTATGCAAATAACCATATTACCATAAGTTAAAAATACTCACAAATAGTTTCCAAATTCTGGAGAAATTATGTAGAGAGAAACAAATATGCTCCAAATTTTGTTCATAGAATTATACTGAACTGTTAAAAGCTGTCAATAGCTCAAAAGAAAAGTTTTAAGGCTCTGAAAAACAAAACAAAGGATCAGCAAACATTTTAAGCAAAAAGTCAATAAGATTAGTTCAGTCCAGGCAGTTAATTCCTGTTCTGCTTGATACTCATGAACGTTTTAGCTCTCCATGAGTCCTGAAAGTTTTTCTTCTATTCTAATGTCACAATCTCCAAAGTTATCAGAAACCTCCATTCAAGAGCACCTATTATAGTTTTATAGCTGATTATAAGACCACCTTCTAAAGAGAACAAAACAAGACAATTGTCCATGGATGGACAAAGTCTTAGGGCAACCATAGTCAAAGACATAATTGATGAAGAAATTTGTTACTTCTGTGGCACACTGTAATTTTAACATAACAATTATGATTATTACTGATAATGTACACTAAATTATATCCTAATTATAGTTTTCCCTAATTTTGGAACACATACCAATAACATATTTATACAAAAATAGCTCAAAGAAAACCCAACACCATTTCATATTTGACAATGCTTCCTGTATAATTTTTGTATCAAATAAGCCAAATTATGGTTTTTTTTGGACTTTAGGGAACCTAAATATCTTAAAGGACTAATTAGGTCAGAAAAAAGACATAATTTATAATCCAATTTTGGAAAGTTTGTCAAATATCAAAGGTTTTAAACACTTGATATCACAAAATAGGATCACAGGTCATTGTAAAATAAGTCATTCATTTAACCAAAGTGATAACTCAAGGATTAAAAAAAAAAAAAAGGAGAAAACCTTTATTCTTTGAGACAGACAACTAAATTTTCCAAACAATAAGCCCTAATAAAAACAGCATGGGCCAGGCGTGGTGGCTCACACCTGTAATCCCAGCACTTTGGGAGGCCGAGGCGGGAGGATCACAAGGTCAAGAGATAGAGACCATCCTGGCCAACATGGTGAAACCCGGTCTCTACTACTAAAAAAAAATACAAAAATTACCTGAGTGTGGTGCTGCGCACCTGTAGGCCCAGCTACTCGGGAGGCTGAGGCAGGAGAATCACTTGAACCCAGGAGGTGGAGGTTGCAGTGAGCCGAGATCACGCCACTGCACTCTAGCCTGGCAACAGATCGAGACTCTGTCAAAAAAAACAAACAAACAAACAAAAAAAAAACCAGCATGAAACCAAACTTTTATAAACAATCTATAAAATTTTAATCTTGACCATAAGATATAACTTCCATAAACCTTTTATAGCCTTTATAACCTTTATTAAGGAGTTGGATAATGCTTCAAGAAAACCTTGTTAATCTGACATAGGCCCATATGCTGGTCTTGCATCAGTGTGCCTTTAACATTAATGATTAATTTATAGAGAAACTGAACTTATTTTATCATTCAAAATTGGCGCTTATAATCTTAGGTGCCTACCTCTTCCACAATAGTCCCTGGGCCTTGAGGAGTTGAATAACTTCAATTTCTTGCCCTATGTCTCAGGAATGCAGTTTACTTTGATTGGCATCTTCTATGGGGCCTAAAGATGAGGCTTTAATTGCTGTCAGTGTTTAAGATTTAGCAGGACTTGGTGTCTTTTTTAGACTCAGGAATCAAAGCCCTGTAACTCAATGTCACAAGGACTTTAAAAGCACATACAGGAAGATACATGGATGTAATAACCTTAATTGAGAAGATTTGTTTGTTTGTTTGTTTGTTTTTGAGATGGAATCTCACTCTATTGCCCAGGCCAGAGTGCAGTGGCATGATCTTGGCTCACTGCAACCTCTGCCTCCTGGGCTCAAGCAATTCTCCTGCCTCAGCCTCCCGAGTAGCTGTGATTACAGGCGCACACCACCACGCCCCACTAATTTTTGTATTTTTAGTAGAGATGGGGTTTTCCCAGGTTGGCCAGGCTGGTCACAAACTCCTGACCTCAAATGATCCATCCACCTTGGCCTCCCAAAGTGCTGGGATTAGAGATGTGAACCATGCACCAGCCAAGAAAAATTTTTTTATCTCAGTTTTTTTCCTAAGTGAACCAAAACTTAATAATAAGATGACAACTTGATCATATTAAAGTTTTTGCTTTTCAATATAAATCCTCTTATTGTGACTTACACTGACCATTTGTGACACGCTTGGACTTTCTGGTTTGTGCTGAACATCCCTCCTTCTTAAACAACCATTTTATTTTAGGATTAAATTTACCATACGAGATTCTTTCTCATATAAAATTATTTCGCTTTAAGCTTTCTTACCACAAAAAATACCTCTTTATTTTTATTATTTTTTATTTATTTATTTTTTGAGAAGGAGTCTTGCTCTGTCGCCCAGGCTGGAGTGCAGTGGCGTAATCTTGGCTCACTGCAAGCTCTGCCTCCTGGGTTCATGCCATTCTCCTGCCTCAGCCCCCGAGTAGCTGGGACTACAGGTGCCTGCCACCAGGCTGGCTAATTTTTTGTATTTTTAGTAGAGACGGGGTTTCACTGTGTTAGCCAGGATGGTCTCGATCTCCTGACCTCATGATCTGCCTGCCTCAGCCTCCCAAAGTGCTGGGATTACAGGTGTGAGCCACCGGGCCTGGCCAATACCTCTTTATTTTTATAACTTTCTTTACATCTCTTTATTTTCTGGTTCCTTTTACCTTGTTTCATACATAACCTTTAAGTTAGCTTTGAATTAGAAAAAACTTGTACACCTTTTTAAAAAAAGGATACACTTTTTTTTTTTTAGCAAGAATGTTTTCCTACAATATATATTTATTGGAAAATACCCAAATAATGAAATCTCTGTTACTTAACTTTGTATCCTAAATTCTGACCAGTTTATCTATAAGTATTCATCCCATTACATTTACCTAATTATTTTAATTGTTTACTTAGATTATTTATGAAAACTGTGATATGATTTAAAGTTATGAAACCACCATTGCAAAGTTATAACTGAGACAGTGAAAAAAGATTTGACCTAACTGACTCCATCTTGCTCTTAACCTCCAAGCTGTCCTTGTTCATTCCTGGATATAGGCTGAACTAACTTTAAGAGGAACTTAGTTTATAGTTTAGCTTTGAAACAAAGATGGTAACAGTCCTTTCCCAAAACAAACCTCCTCATTGCCTGTGGACTAGGTTGCCTAGAGCTACAAGATCAGAAGTTATGGAAATCTTACTAAATTTAAGATGCAGATATTTTCATTAAAGCAATATAAATGTCTTATTTATTAAAAATCACACAAGCAAAGACCATTCTGTTTTTGGCTCAGTTTATAGTTTTGCTATAACCCCTGTGCCAAGTTTTGACACCTTCTATTGTTTGGCAGGGATAAGTATGAAATTGCTTGATTAATAAATGCAAACAAAGATGTACGCTGGCAATTCTTTTTGAGACGGATTTTTGCTCTTGTTGCCCAGGCTGCAGTGCAATGGTGCAATCTCAGCTCACTGCAACCTCTGCCTCCTGGGTTCAAGTGATTCTCCTATCTCAGCCTCCTGAGTAGCTGGAATTACAGGCACCTGCCACCATGCCCAGCTAATTTTTGTATTTTTAGTAGAGATAGAGTTTCACCATGCTGGCCAGGCTGGTCTCGAACTTCTGACCTCAGGTGATCCGCATGCCTTGGCCTCCCAAAGTGCAGAGATTACAGGTGTGAGCCACCACACCCAGGCTGTATGCTGGCAATTAAGACATTTCTAATATTACTTTACCAATAATTTTAAAGCTAGCTTATTCATTAAAGATTTTACTTAAGTTACATAAATTTAAAAAAGCATTTGACTAGTCTTTTCTTTTTTAGTAGCACTTTAATTTTTTTAAGCCAATTAATTAGAGCTCTTTTATGTATTATTTTAGTAGTAAAACATTGTGTATATAACACATAAATACACAGACATATTCGACATGCCAATGGAAGCACATTTTACAGATTCATAAAAATGCTTTTGGCTGGGCGTGGTGGCTCACACCTGTAATCCCAGCACTTTGGGAGGCTGAGGCAGGTGGATCACGAGGTCAGGAGTTCAAGACCAGCCTGGCCAACATGGTGACACCACATCTCTACTAAAAACACACACACAAAAAAAATTAGCGGGTGTGGTGGCACGTGCCTGTAATCCCAGCTATTCGGGAGGCTGAGGCAGAGAATTTCTTAAACCTGGGAGGCAGAGGTTGCAGTGAGTCGTGATTGTGCCACTGCACTCCAGCCTGGGCGACAGAGCAGTGGCTGGGGGTGGGGGGGTGCGGGGCGGGGAGGGGTTTCTTTTTTTTTTCCCTATCTTCGACTTTCAGATTCTTGGTAACCTGTTTTACAACCCTGGGCAGTTGTCAGCTAAATAGCCTTAAATTTGCATATTAAGGGAAGTCAAATAGTAAAATTTACATTATAAGGTGCAGAGAGAAAAATTTGGATTATAGAAATTATAAAGGCCTTTTAAATACACACACACACACACACACACACACACACACACACACACACACACACACACACCCTGCAGCTTTTATTTCAGAGCTTTTAGCCATGAGATAAATACAAATTTACTGGCTTGCAAAAAGAACTTGTTGGATCTAAACAATGGTTTTGTCTTAATAGAAAAATAACAGCAGATTTAGAGCAGGCAGAAAAGGACAGAGAAAAAGAGGACTTAGGAACTCTGTAGTTTGCAGGTCAACCTTAGGGCTCTTTTTCCTTAATATAAATGTGCACAAAGATCTTATTATTTTCATTTTACATAAACTTTGGCAAGTAGAGGTGCCATAAAATCTATGGAGTGCTGAAAAGGGGGTCATTCTCCTTGTTTTCTCCTCATTTTTAGATTGTTTCACGCTTCTTTTTATTTCTTAAAAGGAGCACCTGAGCTGTGGTCTAGGGTTTTTGTGTGGTAGATTGACATGTGCTGCTTGTTGGCAGGACTCCAGAGTCTGTCACCACTGAGTCGTTTCCATCCCTTTACGTGTCTCAGTTTCTCTCTCGAGAGGTCTATGACCTTGGAGAGGGCTCAGAATGCTGTGTCATCAGCCCTGATATACATTTCCTGGACAAGCCTTTTTTTTTTTGAGACGGAGTCTCACTCTGTTGCCCAGGCTGGAGTGCAGTGGCGCGATCTTGGCTCACTGCAACCTCCACTTCCCAGGTTCAAGTGATTTTCCTGCCTCAGCCTCCCGAGTAGCTGGGACTACAGGTGCGTGCCACCACACCCAGCTAATTTTTTGTATTTTTAGTCGAGACGGGGTTTCACCGTGTTAGCCAGGATGGTCTCAATCTCCTGACCTCATGATCCCACTCTCCTCGGCCTCCCAGAGTGCTGGGATTACAGGCGTGAGCCACTGCACCCGGCTAACAAGCCATTTTTAAAATTAATTTTTGCTGGGGATCTCCCAGCAGGGCTGCTGCACATAGCAGGGGGTCAGCCCCCTAGAGACTCTCACAAGGCCCCCAGTCACCCAGGAGTGCCTTTCAGCTGGAAGGAGCAAAATGCCCTTTCTCTTTGGAGCTGAGAAAACTCAGTCTCTTATTAACAGATGAAAACAGTTCAGTTCCTCATGCAAATACACACAGACAAACCAAATTAAGATTAAATTTAGGAGAAAACGCAATAAAGAAGACCCTTTAAAATGCATCTCTGAACTAGAATTAGGATAACAACTTTAGATGGGAACAAACAACAACAACAAAAAACCTCAACAATATGATGAGGAGAAATTAAGACCAGCTGGTTGTTAATCTTAACTTTAGCCAAGACAAACCCCAATTCGGTTACTTACCTAAGGAATGGGTCTCAGGCTGAAGACTGCTCTCTACCATCCTAGAAGCAGGGGAAAAGAACAACAACTCATCTTCCCTGTTAGAAGTGAGCTCAAACTCCATAAAGGAGTTACCTGCCTTCCATCATCAAAGAAGCAGAAAAAACTTGCTTTCCTTGTGTTGGAAGCGAATAAAACTCCAAAAAAAAAAAAAAAAAAAAAAAAGAGAGGAGTTGTACAGCAAAATAAACTTATGATCTCGACCACATTTTGAGAGATCAGAGATTCTCTGGAGGGGGTGCTCTCAGACCTCAGCAAATTGTCCTATTGATTTGAGGCATAAAGTTAGCTCATGCTGGTACCAAGCACTGATAGGAGATTTGTCAAAGGTCAGGGGCATCTCTACTCAGAATCCCTACATGGTTACCAACATGTGAACCCAGAAAATCTGAGACAGGTCTCAGGGGCCCAAGATATTTTCCTTTCACAATGGAAAACAAAACAAAGTCCAGGATCAAAGCCCTGACTGAGTCAAAAAAGAATTCTTAGATAAAGAAAGCAATGATTACGACAAAAAGAGAATCTTTTTTTTTTTTTTTTTGAGACGCAGTCTCGCTCTGTCGCCCAGGCTGGAGTGCAGTGGCGCGATCTTGGCTCACCTGCAAGCTCCGCCTCCCGGGTTCACGCCATTCTCCTGCCTCAGCCTCCCCAGTAGCTGGGACTACAGGCGCCCGCCACCAGGCCGGCTAATTTTTTGTATTTTTAGTAGAGACGGGGTTTCACCATGTTAGCCAGGTTGATCTCCTGACCTCTTGATCTGCCCGCCTCAGCCTCCCAAAGTGCTGGGATTACAGGCGTGAGCCACCGCACCCAGCCAAAAAGAGAATCTTTAGCTCTGGGAAGTTTGCTGGGAGTCTTAGGACAGGATCCTCTATGATGCTTTTTTCATTTGTTCGTTTTGAGACAGGGTCTCACCTGTTGCCAGGCTGTAGTGCAGTGGCACAATCCTGGCTCACTGCTGCCTCAATCTCCCAGGCTCAGGTGAGCCTCCCACCTCAGCCTACTGAGTAGCTGGGACTACAGGTGCATGCCACCATGCCTGGCTAATTTTTGTATTTTTTGTAGGGATGGGGTTTCATCATATTGCCCAGGCTGGTCTCAGTCTCCTGGGCTCAAGCAGTCTCCTGGGCTCAAGCATCTCACCCTCCCAAAGCACTGGGATTACAGGTGTGAGCCACCGTGCCTGGCTGTTTTTGTTATTTAACATCAATGACCTAGTGCTGAGAAAACTTGTTCTCTAAAATCATGGACAATGAGAAGTGTTGCTACCAGAAATTTTTTCAATGAACATGGAACATCCCATTTTACACTTCTAGCATATCTCAATTCAGACTAGCCACACTTCAAGTGCTCAAGAGCCACATCTGGCTTGTGGTTCCATATTGGCCAGCAAATATTTAAACATTCTTATTTTTTCTTTTTAAAATGTCTCTGCCCAAACCAGGCAAGGTGGCTCATACCTGTAATCCCAGCAGTTTGAGAGGTCAAGGTGGGAGAATTACTTGAACCCGCGAGTTTGAGACCGGCCTGGGCAACATAGCAAGAACTCATCTCCACAAAAAATAAAAAATTAGCTGGATGTAGTGGTATAGGCCTATAGTCCCAGCGACTTGGGAGGCTGAGGTGGGAGGACCACTTGAATCCAGGAGGTCGAGGCTGCAGTGAGCCATGATTGCACCACTGTACCCCAGCCTGGGTGACAGAGTGAGACTCTCTATCTCAAAAAAAAAGTCTCTGCCAAGAGAGAAATCTTTGAGTTCATTTCTTCTTCTTTTAGAAAGCCTCCTGCCTTGCAGCAAGTTTGAAACAAAACTTTGACATGTATTTGTAATCAGTGTGTCTGAAAAGTTGCTTTAACTGCTGGTGGGGAGTGGGGTGGGTTCCTGGAAATCTGCCTTTTAACAGCTGCTGCAGGTGATTCTTGTGCACACTTCAATTTCTGGATCACTCTTCTAACTAGTCCGTGTCACATTTACATCCAAGTTGGTGGCCAGCTGTGCATGGTGGACTGGGCCATGGCTGCTATTTTTAGGTAGCCTGGCTTCATAACCAGGTTCTACCATGTATAGTTGTGATCTAAACACATTACTTGACTCAGAGTCTTCATCTTTACTATGGGGATAACATCATTCTACTTCACAGTGTTGTGATAAGACCCATTAAACCCCACTGGTGCATACCTATAGTTTATTTATTTATTTATTTATTTATTTTTTGAGATGGAGTCTCGTTCTGTCACCCAGGGTGAAGTACAGTGGTGTGATCTCAGTCTCACTGCAGCCTCCACTTCCTGGGTTCAAGCAATTCTCCTGTCTCAGCCTCCCGAGTAGTTGGGACTACAGGCGTGCCTGGCTAATTTTTGTATTTTTAGTAGAGATATGGTTTCACCACGTTGGCCAGGGTGGTCTTGAACTCCTGACCCCTGGTGATCTGCCCGCCTCGGCCTCCCAAAGTGCTGGGATTACAGGCATGAGCCACTGCACCTGGCCAACAAACCCACAGTTTAAAAAGTTAGGGTGATAAGGAAAGACACATACTATGACCATCCCTGGGCATCTCCTCATAAGGAAGTGGGGAAAGATTTTTATAGGGTTTGGAGCTTATGCTGAATGATTTGGGAATGGAACAAGGGGAAGCAGGAGCAGCTCTGGATTGAGTGTCACAGTGAAGCAAGGACAGTTTGGCAGTTGTGTTTCTCAGGAATATTTGTTCAGGAGGCAGGAGAAACCAGGGTATCACTTGCATCTGTGGTTTGCATTATGTTGCTATTGGACAGTTCTAGTTTAGATAATCATTGCTAGACTAGAGACCAGGGAGAAAAAAAAGAATGTCTGGTTAAAGATTATCAGAGCCCTTCTAGAATTGGTGAAAGGTCATTAGGCTCCTCCCAAGGCCACACGTAGCTGGATGAGGCTCCTAGAAAGGGATCTTAAAACCATTAAAGTCTCTTAAAAATTTGCTCAGTTGTTTTGTTGGGAATGCAAAGTTCTTCCAGGAAGAAACAGCTATTTATACCAACCACAGCGCTCTACTCCAGCTTATGTTTGGGACAGTTTCTTTCAAAGACTTTAGAGAATCTGATTCCATGGGTTTAAGGAAGGCCTGGAAATTGCATTGTTAAGCAGACCTTCCAATGGGTCCAACTCTGGTGGGTCTCTGAGTTTGAGAATCAGTGACTTTGAAAGTGCTTCTATAGGCTTGGTGACCCACTGCAAAGAACGAAAGAGGTGCCCAAGAGAGGGCATGAAATGGCCCTTTAAGAAAAGCCATCTGCTTCACAGAATGTCATCTGATGAGGGAAGTCAGGGAGAGGATTTAATGTGAGGCCAGGTGTCTACACTGTCCCTGGGGCAGGGTAACTCCCGTAACACTCACCCTTTTAAGCCCACTTCCCTGTGTTAGTGTGTTGAGCTCCTTGGCTCAGGCCTGTGCTCTTCCAATCTTATTGTTCACCTACCCTTTAAGTGTCCAAGAGAGAATACAGTCATGGGTTCTTAGTTTCTGTTTCTGGTTGGACCAGTAAAGCCCCTTCCTCATCCCTCTTTTCTGCTTATCACTAGAGACAGAAACTAAAAACCCTGGCTTCAGGCTGCTAAAAGGCTAAAACAAAACAAAACAGTATTGACATTTCAGAATAAAGCTGTTATATCACTCTTTTAAATAAATCCCTTGAGACCTGCATACTGTCACCATTTTTTTCTTTTTTTCAAGAGACAGGGTCTTGCTATGTTGCCCAGGATGGGCTCCAACTTCTGGCCTCAAGTGATCCTCCTGCCTCAGCCTCCCAAAGTGCTGGGATTATAGGCATAAGCTACCATGCTTGGCCCCATCACAATTTGATACTGATGATGATCCATTTTATTATTTTTTAAATTTTATTATTATTATTTTTTATATTTTATAAAATATAAAATATATTTTTATATTTATTATTTTATTATTTTTTATATTTTATTATTTAAAAAAATTGTTTTAGAGACAGAGTCTCGTACTGTCACCTGGGCTAGAGTACAATGGTGTGATCTTGGCTCACTGAAACCTCTGCCTCCCAGGTTCAAGTGATTCTCCTGCTTCAGCCTCCCAAGTAGCTGGGACTACAGGTGCCTGCCACCATGCCTGGCTAATTTTTGTATTTTTAGTAGAGACCGGGTTTCACTATGTTGGCCAGGCTGGTCTCGAACTCCTGACCTCGTGATCTGCCTGCCTCGGCCTTCCAAAGTGCTGGGATTACAGGTGTGAGCCACTGCGCCTGGCAGATTCATTTTAATACATAGAAACCAGTTTCTCTAATATGACAGAAATTTATATCATTCCTTTTCCATTTGAACTCATTGTCATTCTACTTCACCTGCAGACTTTTATCACAATATAATGTTTTTATAGCTGAAAGTGTTTTAAAACTCCCTTTCATATTCTATGCATTAAAATTGTATATCTAAATGTATATAGTGAATTTTAATTTCCTATGAGCAAAACAACATAAACATAATAAAAATTTTGAGAATTATTTCATTTCCAAAGTAATTTTACTAGAAATACATCTCTTAATGAGGTAGATAGAGCTTTTAAAATACAACTGTGGATAAATAATGTTCATTGGGAGAAAGATATTTATACATGAAAGTGCTAAGGAACGTTTATATTAATATAAACAAGTATGTGGGGATGGATAGAGTTTTATTACAGCAATGTCACTCGATTTTTAAAATTCCTTGAATGATAAAAAATTATACTTGATACATTAGCCAGCAACTTGGTTATGTCTGTCTTTTTTTTTTTTTTTTTTTTTTTTTTTAGCTGGGCATGGTGGCAGGCACCTGTAGTCCCAGCTACTCAGGTGGCTGAAGGGGGAGGATCGCTTGAGCCCTGGAGGTTGAGGCTCAGTGAGCCATGATTGTGCCACTGCACTCCAGCCTGGGTGACAGAGCAAGACCTTGTCTCCAAAACAAGCAAAAAGATTGAAAACCATTTGATTTCTGAAAGGATTTGTTATCTTATCATGAGACTCACTGGCTTTCTCAATGCCACCCAATATTTCCAATTGTCCCTTTGTTTGGGGCCTCTGAGGTGCTTCTTTATCATCTGACAAAAAGAAAGGTAACCTCTCAGTCATCTTGAATCTCTGTCTGGAGGGGAAAGGGCTGTTAAAAAGGAGATACCTGGGTCAGGCGCAGTAGCTCATGCCTGTAATCCCAGCACTTTGGGAGGCTGAGACAGGCAGATCACCTGGGACTAGGAGTTCAAGATCACCCTGGCCTTGAATATGATGAAACCCCATCTCTACTAAAAATACAAAAGTTAGCTGGGCATGGTAGTGTGCGCCTGTAATCCCAGCTACTCAGGAATCTGAGGCATGAGAATTACTTGAACCAGGGAGGTGGAAATTGCACCACTGCACTTCAGCCTGGGTGACAGAGTGGGACTCTGTCTCAAAAAAAAAGAGACACCTGGACCACGGGAGAGTTCACCATCAAATCAAATTAGGAAAGAGTTCTTTTCAAAGTGGAGGATCTAGAATAGTAGGTGGGTCCCTTAAAATGGAATTCCAAGTACCCCTTGGAAAGTCATGCTGTGTTCCCCAGGGGTTCACATACCCCAGGCATTCACACACAGGCATGCTGAGCAGAGCAGGTGCCATGGTTAAGAGCTTGATGTAAAGATAACCTTGACCTCCTGGAGAGGAGGTGGAAGCTGCTTTTCATAACCCAGAGCTGCCTTGCCATTCTGCTTTTTCCCTTTAGAGAGAATGTCTCCTTGGCCTTATTTCCTCTTGTGTAGCAAATTCCTTTCTTAAACTTCTCTGGATATGTCCTTAAGTTTTTATTCAGCCTACATCTAGAGTTTTTTTTTTTTTTGAGACCGGGTCTCACTCTGTTACCCAGGCTGGAATGTAGTGGCACGATCACAGCTCACTGCAGCCTCGACCTTGTGAGCTCAAGCGATCCTCCCATCTCCGCCTCCTGAGTAGCTGAGACCACAGGTACAGACCACCATGCCTGACTAATTTTTGAATTTTTTGTAGAGGTGAGGTCTCATTATGTTGCCTGGGCTGGTCTTAAACTCCTGGGCTCAAGTAAACCTCCAACCTTGGCCTCCCGAAGTGCTGGGATTACAGGCATGAGCCACTGTGCTCAGCCCTACCTCCAATATTTATTTGTTTGAAACATAGTAAAAGTTTGAGGCTCTTTGGGATAAAATGCTTGGGTTCGAATGCATACTTGCTGTTGAAATTTGGATCCATCCCTTCCTTCCTTCCTTCCTTCCTTCCTTCCTTCCTTCCTTTCTCTCTTTCCTTCTTTCTTTCCTTCCTTTTTTCTTTCTTTCGGCAGCAATCCTCCCATCCCAGCCCCCCTGTAGCTGGGACTACAGGCACGTGCCACCACGCCTGACTAATTTTTTGTAGAGATGGGGTTTCACCATGTTGCCCAGGCTGATCTCAAACTCCTGAGCTCAAGCAATCTGCCTGCCTCAGCCTCCCAAAGTGCTGGGATTACAGGCGTGAGCCACCACACCCTGCCTGGAAGTTATTTTCTAAGCCTCAGTCTCCTCTTATGAAAGCTTGTTGTGTTTTGGGGAAGTAGGTGGTTTAATGCAAAGTTCTGAGCATGTGTCAGGAACAGTAAGCACTTGATAAATGTGAGTTATTATTATGGGTATGTGGTCTAAATTTGGTCTATCTTTTAAATCTGCCCAGGACAGGAAATGCTTATAAAATGCTTTGAGACTCAAAAGATAAATCACTGTAATCATCATGCTACTCTGCTCCTTATTAGCCCTATTTTACTGGGGAAGGTTGAGTAAGATAGGCATGTGCTGAGTTAGGGCTGTGGGGAGTGTCAGTGCCTCAGAAACTAAGCAGGGCATCCACAGTGTCTGAGCCCCTCAGCCTAAACTCGGTTTCCATTTTAGCCTCTGCTTCCCTGGCCAAGGCGCTCAACTCCACTCTGTTCACTCCTCCATTCCACCCCAGAGTTGACCTTGGCCCATTGGAAGAGCTCTTGGGCTTGAATCCTACACTGTCACTAATAGTTATTGAGCTTGGGAAAGAAACTTCTCAAAATATATTTCCTCTACCGTAAAACAGGATTAGCAGTACCTCTCTTAGGGCTGTTGAGGGGGTCAAATGAAAGAAGCCTATGGAACTCCTTGAACAGTACCTGGGCATGTATCAGCCCTCCAATTATTCCTGAATGTTACAATTACAGTAGGTAACCATTAGGAAATCTTCTTGTGCCTAATCATGCAAGGAAGATAGGCATGACCCAGGCAGATAAGACGGTTTCACATGTCTTTGCCAAAGCAGGGCCTAGTGCTGGAAGATAAAGCGGGTTTGGCCTGCTTTGGTGAAAGGTTGGTGGGTGCTTGGGAATTTAATCTAGGGCAGTCAGGGCCATTTTGAAATGGAGCTGCTTGTTTATTCAACATTTGGGATTTCACCTTTGTTGACAATAATACTGAGAAACATCATCCTCATCTATGAGGTGAGCTCTTTGGCAGCCATGTTTGTACCATGTGACCTCATCTTTGATTGGACCAGAATAGACACCTTACCTAAACGGGGCCAATCAGGTTTTCCTTTCCAGGGAACTTGGAATTGAGACTCACATGCTCATTCTGGGATCTACCTTTTTTTTTTTTTTTTTTTTTGTGAGACAGAGTCTTGCTCTTTGCCCAGGCTGGAGTGCAGTGGTGTGATCTCGGCTCACTGCAACCTCCGCCCCCCGAGGTTCAAGTAATTCTCCCACCTCAGCCTCCCGAGTAGCTGGGATTACAGGCGCCTGCCACCATGCCTGGCTAATTTTTGTATTTTTAGTAGAGACGGGGTTTCACCATGTTGGCCTGGCTGGTCTTGAACTCCTGACCTCAGGTGATCCTCCTGTCTTGGCCTCCCAAAATGTTGGGATTACAGGTGTGAGCCACTGCACCCGGCTGGGATCTACTTTTGAATGGAAGGGATATGAAAACTGGGTGATAGGGTGTGGTCATCTTCTCCCATATGGATTGAGAGGCAAGGAAAGCCAAGCTGCAGGAGGTGAGCAAATGACATAAAAAAACAGAGGAGGGAGGTGGAAATTGTATGTATCTGAGTTCTTGACAGTTCCCACTTCCTGTTTCAGACTCCTCCTCAGGCCTGAGCACATTCTGACCTTTGGATTTCATGAGACACTTCTGAATCCTTAACAATAAATCCATTTTTGATTGCTTACACTGGATCATGTTGTATGTTAAGCTATTTTGCTCTCAAGTTACAGAAGCCAACTTGAGCCATCTTAAGCAGAGAGAGGAAATTAGTGGAAGGTGCTGGGGGCATCTCATGAGATCTGGGAGGTTTAAACAACCCAATTTTAGGAGGTGCTGGTACAAGGGCAGCCCTGGGTACTTCAGCCACAGATGGGAAAGCCACCTTTCTTCTCACCTGCTGTCATTAAGATGCTTCACCTTTGGGCCTCTCAGTTCAAAACTGCAAATTCATAGGGTAGACAGAAACGCATTGTTCTATGATGAGACAATTAGTAATGAGTAGGGGTAGCTTTAGACAGCAGAGACATAGCTGCTTAAGAGAGTTTAACCATGAGAACAGCACATGACATTATCCAAGGACAGGGAGTGGCACTGATCAGCCAGTCCAAGTGACGTCCTGTACAAGCTGGTTTGCACACTTGTTTACAACTTATTATGAGCAGGAAACTGTGCTTCTCACTGAGAAGGGTGCAAAGATCTGTAAAACAGGGTCTCTAACATCAAAGAATTTATAATCTGTCTACAAATAATCACATTCCAAGGAAGTCTGTGATAACTGCTAGAGGAGATGTACAAGCATAAAGTGCTACAGAAATTTAGAGAAAGGCATACATTTGAGCAGTGGTGACTGTGGCCCAGATGTCAGACCAGGTCATGGTTGGCAAATGGCTTCCAGAACAAAACACTAAATATGCACTTAACATGCCTTGTAATAACAACCAAAAGGAGCATTTATTTAAAATTAAATGTAAAATGCAATAAAGCAGGAATGTGTTTTTGATGGACTAATCCATAGCATGTGAGCCACACTGACATATACAAATGTACCAGGTCAAGAGTGGACACAAACCAATTGTGCCAGGGTTCTGTCTGAATTCTAAGGCAAGTTAATCATATTCCTGTGATCCTTAGTCCCAGCCCTGATTATAAGCCTTTGGTCGGCTTATCTCCCTTGAATTCTCACCCCCATAGTATTTGTACGTGTGCTCTTCTGGGCTCATGGCCCTTTTCACGCTGGTCATTAGAAGGCTCCTTCCAAGGCAAACACATTCTTAATCTGTGCACAGAATACTCCCTCCACATCTTGAATTTTTAAAAAACAATTTATTTTTAATTTCTAAAATGTTAAAATATTTTCAGAGACTGGGTCTCGTCATGTTGCCCAGGCTAGTCTTGAAGTCCTGGACTCAAGTGATCCTCCTGCCTCAGCCCCCCAAGTAGCTAGGATTATAGGTATGAGCCATTGTGCCGAGCTCTCCCTTCAAATCTTTGCCTCAACAAAAACCTGGGTGACTTTATCTGTTTTCGTGGTATCAACTGTCACATATATGGGGATTTTTCTCAACTTAAAAAAAAAATGGCTCATATTTGTCTCCTATGCTTTAGACGTATGCATCCTACTGCCTGACGGAATCTTCTCCTAGGATGGCCCAGAAACTTCCAAATCAATGAGCCTGAGTGGACTCGTGGGCATTACCTGTTCATTCTCTATTCTCTGACCCCTCTATTGCACCCATGCTACATACCCATACTCCAGCCTGGAAGTGCAATTTTATTCTTTTTTAAATAAAAAAATTTTTTTCAGATGGGGTCTCACTCTATCACCCAGGCTGGAGTGCCGTGGTGCAATCTTGGTTCACTGCAACCTCTGCCTCCTGGGCTCAAGCGATCTTCCCACCTCAGCCTCCCCAGTAGCTGGGACTACAGGTGTGTGCCACCATGCCAGCCTAATTTTTCTGTAGTTTTTATAGAGATGGGGTTTCACCATGTTGCCCAGGCTGGTCTTGTACTCCTGGGCCCATGCAATCTGCCTGCCTTGGCCTCCCAAAGTGCTGGGATTACAGGCATGAGCCACTGTGCCCAGCTTGAAATTTTATTCTTATCTCTCTTTTATCTATTATGTCAAATTGATCACCAAGTTGTTATACTTGGTCCTCTCAATATTTCTCCAATTTGTCTCCACCCTTTGCTGCTGCCCCATCAATCCCACGATTGACTTAATGCACAACTATTTTTGCCTCACCGTCTGGGTTAGTTACCTATTGCTGTGTGACAAATTACCCCCCAATTTAACCAGCAAACATATTATCTCATGTGGTTTCTGGGGGTTAGGAATCTGGGAGCACCTTAGTGGGATGGTTCAGCATCAGGGTTGCTTGTGAGGTTACAGTCAAGCTGTCAGCTGGAGCCACCATCGTCTCAAGGCTCGACTGGGGCTGGAGACTCTGCTTCCAAGCTCACTCACATGGTGTGGGCAGGACTCTTTCCTTGCTAGCTGTTGGCTGGAGGCTTCAGTCAGCCTCTGCATAGGTTGTCTGAGTGTCATAACATGGCAGCTGGCTTCTCCTCAAGTGAGTAATGTATACATTTGTGTGTGTGTGTGTGTTTGCGAGAGAGAGAGAGAGAGAGAGAGAGAGAGAGAGAGAGAGAGAGGAAAGTCATAGTTTTTTAAAACCTAATTGCCAACGTTTTCACTTCAGCCATATTCTATTGGTTACATAGAATAAACTTAGTGCATGTGGGAGGGTGTGTGTGAAGACCAGCATGTGAGGATCCTTAGGGGTCACTTTGGGGTTTGGCCACCACAATGTCAATTCACTCTTTTGGTAAAACAATCACTTGATTTTCCTTTGGGAAACAACCCCTCCCACATTGCCAAGCTATAGTATGAGTGGGGCTGCCCCTCCTTCATTTCTGATGTAGGTCCCCATTTATAGCATAGGTCCTGACTGGCTAATGCTGATCAGCGCATCCGTTCTGCTGTGGACTGAATGCTGTGTCCCCTCAAAATTCACATGTTGAAATCCTAATCCACAATATGATGGTATTTGTAGGTGGGGCTTTTGAGATGTAAGTGGGGTTAGATGAGGTCATGAGTGTGGGGCCCTATGGGATTAATGCCCTTAAAAAAGAGGAAGAGGCTGGGCGTGGTGGCTCATACTAGGTGTAATTCCAGCACTTTGGGAGGCCAAGGCAGGAGGATTGCTTGAGCACAGGAGTTTGAGACCAGCCTGGGCAACATAGTGAGACCTCGTCTCTAAAAAACAATAAACAAAATTCGCGGGGCATGGTAGTGTACCCCTGTAGACCAAGCTACTCTGGAGGGTTGGAGTGGGAGGATAGCTTGAGCCTGGGAGGTAGAGGCTTTCTCTCTGTCTTTCTGTGCATGCACCAAAAAAAGCCATGTGAGGCCATAACCAGGAAGAAGGCCCTCACCTACAACCCAACCATGGTGAGACCCTTATCTTAGATTTCCAGCCTCCAGAACCAGTGAGAAATAAATGCTTGTTACTGAAGTCATCCAGTCTATGGTAATTTGTTATAGCAGCCCAAACTGACTGAGATACAGTCGCTCTGGCCTTAGTGATAGACTCAGCGATGAGCAGATAACCCCACAGAAAGCCAGTGACATCAGGAAGTATTTGCTGGAGTTCTGGAAAGGATCTAAGAAGCTTCAACAGAAGCTCCTGGAAGGGACGCACTCTCCTCCTCTGGCCTACGTGGTGTGAGGCCATGAGGCTAGAACTACAGGCATTTTGCCAACGCAAGGTGAACCAGCCTGGGAATGAAGCTGATTCTCAGGGGAAGCAGAGCCGAGAGATGGATGCTGTAGACACCACTTGAACTCTGTATCAAGCCAAGCCCACAGTGTGCCTGTGTATAAAATGTTCAGTTATACTAACCAACAAATACAACTTTTTTTTTTTCTTTTGAGACAGAGTCTTACTCTGTCGCCCAGGCTGGAGTGCAATGGTGCAATCTCAGCTCACTGTAACCTCCACCTCTCAGGTTCAAGCAATTCTCCCGCTTCAGCCTCCCAAGTAGCTGGGATTACAGGCACCCACCATCATGCCCAGCTAGCTTTTGTGTTTTTGTAGAGACACAGTTTCACCATGTTGGCCAGGCTGGTATTGAACTCCTGACCTCAGGTGATCTGACTGCCTTGGCCTCCCAAAGTGCTGGGATTACAGGCATGAGGCACCACACCCAGCCAAAACTTTTCTTAAGGTGGTTATACTGGGATTCTGTTCCTTGTTACATAAAGAGTCCTAACTGGTTTTGGCCACCGTCCCCCACGCAGCCTTTCCCGCCTAAAACATAAATCTGATCATGTTATCTCTTGTGTAAAACCTTGTGGCATCTACTTGGTGCCCACTGGGTAGAGTATAAGCTCATTAACATGGTAGTTAAGATCTACTACCATCCTCCTAATGTCCACCTTCAGCTTCTTTTTTCCTTGCTTCTGTTTTAAGCAACACTCAGCTATTTATACAATATACCCTGACATTATGAATAGAGTCTTTGGCTGGGAGCTCATGAGGCTTAATCAGGAATTAGGACAGCAGAAGCCATGAGAGTGGACTATACCCAGCCTGATCAAGGTAGCTATATGCCCCAGACCTAGACCCAGAAGCTGTCTTAGTTTTATGTGCTAATGATGGAGATGCTGGGCCTTTCCTGGTCACTGGCACCTATGGTCTGAAGTTATCTCCCAAAATTAATGTGTTAGAAATGCAATTCCCAATTCAACAATGTTGAGAGATGGGGCCTTTGGGGAGGGTTTAGGTCATGAGAGCTCCACCCTCATGAACGAATTAATGATGTTATAAAGGAGGTTGTTGGAGGGAACTTACTCCTCTTGCCTTTTTGTCTTCTGCCATGTGGGGACACAACTTTCCTCTCCTCTAGAAGGTGCAGCATTGAAGGTGACATCTTGGAAACAGAGAGTAGCTCTCATCAGATGCTGGCACCTTGGTTTTGGACTCCCAGCCTCCAGAACTGTGAGAAATACATTTCTTTTCTTTATAAATTACTCAGTCTGTGGTATTCTGTTATAGCAGGACAAACAGACTAAGATACTGGCTTTTAGTCAGGCTCCTGGTTTCTGTAGCCCTGTATTCCTAAAGGTATTTCGCTGTGAATTCAACCAATTCTCTACAGAGCTCAACAGGATGGTCTAATTGCTTCAGCAGTGGGATATCTTAGTTCAATTCTCCTTAACCCAAGCCATGGCCCATTTGGATGAGTACTCAATATCCAAGCTCTTAAAAGAGGACACTTTGTTTTAGGTACAGTAGCCAGGAAGAAAAATATGGCAGAGCTTCCCATTCCCTTCCATACTTTTTGTGCAAGAGTAAGCCACTTTTTTCTGGACTAAACATGGCCCACTTGTGGGTGGTCTGATTTATAGAACAGATAAGGTATCAAATGTTCTTCACTGGATTAATTCTGTGTACCTTGCCCCTAATAATTATATCAGGGAAGGAATAATTCCCAGGATTGGGGCTGATTTGGCAGGGTCTCTACAATGGCACTGTTACGAATTGCTTTAGGGAGTTCATGCTTTTGAGGCTTCCCTCTTGATATCAAAAAAGGAAATAGCCCAGTAATTAGTCAGTTTCCAGTTCCTGATAGCTTGTGGGGGTGGAGGAGTTTTAGAGGGTAGGCATTAGGGGGTGGTCCTTGGGTAGATATGGCCCTTGTCTGGTTACTTCTCTTTTTCATAAATCCTTGAGTGCTGCTATGGTTTGAATGTGTTGGCTAAACTTTGTGTATTGGAAACTTAATCCCCAATGTAACAGTGTTGAGAGGTAGGACCTTTAAGAGGTGATTAGGTCATGAAGGCTCTGCCCTCGTGAATGGATTAATGCCGTTATAATGGGAGTGGGTTTGTTATTGAGAGAGTGGGTTTCTCATGAAAGTGAGTTTAGGCCGGGCGCGGTGGCTCACGCCTGTAATCTCAGCACTCTGGGGGGCCGAGGCAGGTGGATCACGAGGTCAGGAGATCGAGACCATCCTGGCTAACATGGTGAAACCCCGTCTCCACTAAAAAAAAAAAAAAAAAATTAGCCGGGCATGGTGGTGGGCACCTGTAGTCCCAGCTACTCGGGAGGCTGAGGCAGGAGACTGGTGTGAACCCGGGAGGCGGAGCTTGCAGTGAGCTGAGATCGTGTCACTGCATTCCAGTCTGGGCAACAGAGTGAGACTCTGTCTCAAAAAAAAAGAAAGTGAGTTCAGCCCTTTGTTGCTCTGTCTCTTACACACTCCTTGCTATGGGATGCCTTCTGATCTAGGCACTCAAATTAGTAAGTTCATAGGTATTTTAAATATTGTACACTGAGTTAAACAACAACAACAAAAATCAGAATGTAACAATCTAAGGAAGTCAGGTAGGTATATAAAGGTGAACCTGAGTAAAAAACTGGACATTAACAAACCCCATATATTTCTAAGAGAAATTACTTAAATATAGTTATTCTTTTGAAAAATCTTTAGAATTATAAGGTAGAGGCAAGGAAGTAACACTTTTTCTTCGTGTTGGGATTTTTTGGATAGCAATTTTTAAGCATCTGCTGACATTTAAGACATTTTCAGAAAAACAGAAAAGTTGGTCAGAATGAATATTTTCCCCAAGCATGTAGTTGTGTAAAGTGAAAATAACAGTAAAAATTTGAATATATACTCATGATCATAAAATATTAAGACAAAGAAACATGGCAAATGCACATGGTTAAGTTTTAGGAATTAAGAAGCCCTCATAAAACCAAGTATATGTATGACGATGATTCATATTTTGAAAACACAATTGTTCTTATAGAAGAACACGAAAGGGAAAGTTCAATAATGCTAAGTAGTTTTCTCTTAGGGGCTGGGAATAGGGATGACTTTTAAAAATCTCATATCTATGTTTTAAAAAACGATGAGGTACTACTTTTTTATTGAAAAACATTAAACAGAAAAAAAAAACCCACAAAAAGGAAATACAGCAAACTACAATCAGAGGTTGAGTTGCTGAGACAGGGTTGTGTTTCATTCTTTCAATATTTTTGACCGGGCACAGTGGCTCACGCCTATAATCCCAGCCCTTTGGGAGGCTGAGGTGGGCAGATCATGAGGTCAGGAGTTTGAGACCAGCTTGGCCAATATGGTGAAACCCTGTCTCTACTAAAAAATGCAAAAAATTAGCTGGGCGTGGTGGCATGTGCCTGTAGTCCCAGCTACTGGGGAGGCTGAGGCAGGAGAATCACTTGAACCCGCCAGGCAGAGGATGCAGTGAGCCGAGGTCACGCCACTGCACTCCAGCCAGGCGACAGAGCGAGAATATGTCTAAAAAAAAAAAAAGATGAGGTACTACTTTTGTACTGAAAAACATGAAACAGAAAAAAAAAAACCCCACAAGAAGGAAATACAACAAACTACAATCAGAGGTTGACTTGGTGAAACAGGATTGTGTTTTCCTCTTTCAATATTTTCCTGTTGAACATTTTTCCTATAATAAGCATATATGTATACTTCTTTTTATAACAGGAATCAAACTTTATTTTAAAAATAAAGATCAAATCCTGTTTCTTTGTTTTCAGTTTTTCTTTGTTTACAGTTTTATTATCTGACAAAGGGGGTTGGGTGGAGCATTCATAGAGCAGTTGAAAATCTAGGAATCAGTTCAAGGGTCAGAAAATGATTTTTAAAAATAATTTAAAATTTTTCTATTGATACATATAATTTCTACATACTTGGGGGCATATGAAATATTTTATTACATGCATAGGATGTGTAATGATCAAGTCAGAGTATTTAGGATATTCATTACTTTGTGGGTTTATCACTTCTATGTGTTGGGAACAT